>NC_000005.10:86776473-87079503 GCF_000001405.40 Homo sapiens | reverse complement strand
CTTGTTCCTTTCACTTAAGATTTACTTGCATAGCTTCCCTAGCCACATGGCCCACTGTGATAGCTCAGCAGATTCTGCTCTGGCTGGCTCCACCTCAGTTCTTCCTTCTCTATCTCTAATCTCTCAATGCATAACTCAAGATTCAGCATCCTGCTTTCCATTTGTGACATTTTAATCCACTGCCCCCATTTCCTGTCTTAGTCCTTTATTTTAGGTTATATCAGTGATTAAGAAAAACCAGCATTTAATTCATTATCACAGTTTTCACATTTAGTTTTGTTTCTTTTCATTTCATTTAACAGTATGCATTGCGTTTTTGGCAAACTACATTAAAAGCTCCTCAGAACTAGAATGTTTTTTTTTTTTTTTTCCATTGATGGCGATTTAGGGAAGTATTGAGTGCTCATAGTCATTGCTTTAAATTATAGTAAATAAAAAAATAAAGTCCCACCCCATTCTTATCCAAGGCCACATTTCTCAACCTCTCCATTTCTCTCAGTAGGTTCTGGTAGTATTCTGTAGGCATCTCTATTTTGAAAGGATTGTTGGAGTCACTTTTCATGTGTTCTTTTACTCTTCCATATCCAGTCTATTAGGGACTTGGGTTTCCTCCTTTTTCAGTGTTTCTCAAATTTACCCTTTCATTTCCTTTTCAAGTGTCCTATTGGTCATATCTTTATGACAACATGTCTGAATATTTGATTTAGCCTTATGGCTAATATGCATGACTTAAGTCATCCTTTTCTAAACCTAACCTGCATAGTGTCCTAAAACATGTCTTCCATTGTGTCAGCTCCTCTTATAGAACCTATAATGTTGTATTGAGATCAATTTCAAGTTTTTGGCTATGTACACAAGACGGAGACTACCTGACCTATATAGATTTATTTTTCATTGCTCCCTAATCTATGCAGTCTAATTTGCCCAGATTAATTTCACTCATTGTCTCTTCACACATACTATACTCATTCCTATTTCTCTTATTTTGAATGAGTTGTTTCAGGGGATTCAGGATGTCTTGGCTACTATCCTTTGCTTACACACCAATTAGATCTTCCTGTGTGCTTCCTGAAACGTTACCTAGACACTCAATCCTATATACAGATGCTCCTCCACTTATGATGGGACTGCATCCCAATAAATTTATCCTACGTTGAAAATATTGTAAGAGGAAAATGCATTTAACACACCTAATGGCCAGGCGCAGTGGCTCACACCTGTAATCCCAGCACTTTGGGAGGCCGAGGTGGGCAGATCACGAGGTCAGGAGTTTGAGACCAGCCTGACCAACATGCTGAAACCCCATCTCTACTAAAAATACAAAAATTAGCCAGGTGTGATTATGCACACCTGTAATCCCAGCTACTCAGGAGGCTGAGGCAGGAGAATCGCTTGCATCCAGGAGGTGAGGTTGCAGTGAGCCGAGATCATACCACTGCACTCCAGCATGGGCAACAGAGCGAGACTCCATCTTAAAAAATAATACACCTAACATATCAAACATCCTAGCTCATCCTAGCCTACCATAAATGTGCTTAGAACACTTAAATTAGTCTACAGTTGGGCAAAATAATCTAACACAAAGCCTATTCTAATATCTCATATAATTTATTGAATACTGTTCTGAAAGTGAAAATCAGAATGATTGTATGGGTACTTGAAGTAGAGTTTCTACTGAATAAACATTGCTTTTGTATCATCAAAAAGTCAAAAAATTATAAGTTAAATCATTATCACTGGGGGCCATCTGTATATACATATGATGATATATATCCCATCATTAAGTGATACATGACTGTGTACTATATACTTAAGCAGTATATATATAGAGTACATATAGTTTTGTACTATATATAGAGAGAGTAATGGATCACTTAATGATGGGGAATATGTTCTGAGAAATTAGTCATTAGGCAATTTCATTTTTGTATGAGTATCATAGAGTATATTTACATAAACCTAGATGGCATAGTCTATACACATATAGGCTATATGGTATAGCCTATTGCTCCTAGGCTACAAACCTGTACGACATATTAATAAAAAGGTACAGCATTTTACTATACCTTTTCTGTGTTTAAATACACAAATACTATTGTATTACAATTACGTATAGTACTGAATACTATATTACAATTATGTACTGTATTACAATAGTAATGGTACTATACCATAGTTAATTGTAATACAGTATATAATTGTAATATAGAATTCAATACTATAGGTAATTATAATACAATAGTATTTGTGTATCTAAACATAGAAAAGGCATAGTAAAAATATGATACAAAAGGTTTTTAAAGTGGTCCACCTGTTTAGGGCACTTACCATGAACAGAGCTTGCAGGACTGCAAGTTGCTCTGGATGAGTCACTCCCTGAGTGAGTAGTGAGTGAATGGTGTGAGTGAGTGAGTGAATGTGAAGGCCTAGGACATTATTGTACGCTACTGTAAACTTTATAAACAATGTACGTTTAGGTAACTCTAAATTTATTTAAAAAGTTTTCTTTCTTTAATAACCTTAGCTTACTGTAACTTTTTTAGTTTATAAACTTTTAAATGGTTTTAAACCTTTTGACTATTTCATAATAACACTTAAACACAAATACATTGTGCAGCTGTACAAAAATATTTTCTTTATATCCTTTGTATCTTGACATCCCTATTCCACGTACCTTTTCTATTTTTAATTTTCTTTTATTTTATAACTATTTTGCTAAAAATGTAGACACAAACACACATCTTGGCCTGGGCCTATGCTGGTGGAAAATACCACTGTTTACCACTTCTACCTGTTGTCCTGGGACATATTGCCCCTGAAGGCCTTCCGGGACCTTCATGTTGTCCTGGAACATATTGCCCCTGAAGGCCTTCCGGGGGCAATAACCCCTTCATGTAGAAGGTCCTGGAAGGCCTTCAGGGGCAATAGCCCGCATGAAACTGTCATGTCCTATGTTATGACCCATAGATTTTTCTCCTATGACAAAAATGCCTTTTCCTGGAAAGCATTCCTAAATAAATGCGTTTTTCTGGAAGGCATTCCTTCTGAAGGATCAGCCTGAGGCTGTTATCCACTTAAACTTATTTTTTAATAAGCGGAAGAAATACACTCTAAAGTAATGATAAGTTTAGCATAGTAAATATATAAACCAATAACACAGTCATTTATTATCAGGTGTTATGTACTGTCCATACTGTATGTGCTATGCTATTACATGACTGGCAGCACAGTAGGTTTGTTTATACCAGCATCATGATGATCTCATGAGTAATGTGTTGTGCTACAACATTTTGACAGCTACAGGGTCACTAGGGGATAGGAATTTTTCAGATCTATAATCTTATGGGGCCACTGTTGTGTATGTAGTCTGTTATTGACTAAAATGTCATTATGCAGTACATGACTGTACACAAACACACGCACACATGCACACACACATAAACACTCAATATTTTTCCCAAATGTCTATGACAAAAATATTTATTCCATAATTTAACTTTTAATTGTTTGTAAATATTCTATTTCTTTGCTCTACTCAACATTGATAGTATTGTCCTTAGTGTTTAGATTAGATGTAATTTTCTTATTGTCTAGGTATTATTAGGTGTTCAATAAGTATTCTGGTTTAAAATGCCATCATGGTCCTCATTATCAACAGTGGCCTCTCTGCATTTTGAGAATAGGAAAAATGTTTAACATCTGAAAGCTTGGGTTTATCCTTGCTAAGTGACAAGGAGAATCTGGGCAGAATGTAAATCTTTAAGTTGTCTTTCATTTTTTTTTTCTTTTCAGTTTCTAAAATAAATAGCACTGTTAGCAATTACTCATAGATTTCTTTGTTAATATAAGAAAACATTTTGTAAGATTAGACTCATTTTATTTTTAAAAAGAGCTTCAGTATATGAATATGTGATGTTTAATATAAGCTTAAAAGTAAGAAGTCCCTTCCCTTATTTTCTTAGAGTACAACTGTAGGCAATTAGAATACATTGAAGTGGGTTAAAAGGCAGAACCTAACTTGAACTTCCTTTTGACCACCTGTACGGTATATTCTCAACACTGGGGCCATTGGTTTTGTGGCTTTGTTTCCTGCTCACTGGACTGCCTGGAGGATGGGCTTAGGGTGTGACTTTGCTCATTTCCTTTTTGTCACCTCACAAAGCCCTGCTTTGTTTGCTTTATCTAAGACCTCTGTGCTACCTAGCTAAGTTTGGCTTCCTGTCCAATGCTGTTCACTCTGTCTCCATGGATCCAGCTCAATTGGAAGAAAAAGCAGATGAAGGCCTGAATGTCTACTGAGTTTTCAGTGACTTCCTCAAACTTCTCACTTACCTTTCAGTGCTGGCATCGTCCAGGTCATAGGAGAAAGTAGTAGGGGTGACTCAAATATTTAGTATTTGCACAGTAAAAATGTCCAGCTATGCCAGGTGGAGTGGCTCACACCTATAATCCCAGTGCTTTGGGAGGCTGAGCAGGAGGATTGCATGAGGCCAAGAGTATGAGACCAGCCTGGGCAACATAGTGAGACTCTGTGTCTACAAAAAGTTTTTTTTTTAAAAAATTAGCTGGGCATGGTGGCATGTGTCTGTAGTTCTAGCTACTTGGGAGGCTGAGGTGGGAGGATCATTTGAGCCCAGGAGTTTGTGGCTGCAGTGAACTATGGTTGCACCATTGCACCCCAGCCTGGGCGATAGAGGGAGACCCTGCTTGTAAAAAGCAAGCCAAGCTCTTTACTGGCTGAAATTGCATGGAGTAAGGGAGGGAGTCGAAATTCTGGGGCAGAGAACTACCTTTTGTTGTTCATATGTGTTTGTCTTTAATAATGTTCCCCAGTATCTTATGTTAATGAGGAACATTAATGCTTTGACATCGTTTCACGGTGCCACTTCAGGGAATCACTCTTGCTTATTCTAAGGAGGATTTGGAGCTGTACCGAGCTAAAAGTCTGAATTTGGAGATGATAGTGGTGACCTTATAGGCAATATCAGGTACAGATGGAGCTTTAATAGTGAAAAAGTAGACTGCTCAGAGTAAGTATGGAGGATCATACTTCTGCATACACTGAATGTAGTTGTTTCTTTTCCACACAAGCACTCTCTACAAGAGAGGTTTCTTTAGAAAGAATTGGACCTGATGGAGGGTCATTCTATCAGAATGAATTTTTTAGGTTTCTTCCTTACAGTTAACATCTCTGAAAGGTACGGATACAAGTTATCTACAGGGTAACACCTGTAGATATGATGCAACAGGCTTATGCCATTGGAGAGTGAATAGTCAACCTTCTGAAAACAGTGTACACCACCGGAAGGGCAAGAAAAAAAACTGTGAGTAACCAGTGAGTCTGGGTGCCTTGATTGGGGTCACTTTCAAATAGTGATTTTTTTATTTTTGCTTTGTCACCACATGGTTTGCATGTGTTGAAGGACAGTGTTATCCAGTAGGATTTGTCTTAGGTTTTTTTTTTTTTTTTTTTTTTTTTTGAGACCGAGTCTCGCACTGTCACCCAGGCTGGAGTGCAGTGGCACGACCTCGGCTCACTGCAACCTCCACCTCCCAGGTTCAAGCAATTCTCCTGCCTCAACCTCCTGAGTAGCTGGGACTACAGGTGCCCGCCACCACGCCTGGCTAATTTTTTGTGTTTTGAGTAGAGACAGGGTTTCACCATGTTAGCCAGGATGGTCTTGATCTCTTGACCTCGTGATCCGCCTGCCTCGGCCTCCCAAAGTGTTGGGATTACAGGCATGAGCCACTGCACCTGACCTTGTCTTAGGTTTTCTAGTGGAGGCTTGAGCCAAAGAAATTTTCATGCTGTACAGAAAGTCAACCTATTTCTTAACCATTTTAAAAAATGACACAAGGGTTAGATTTTTGAGGGGAGGGATCAGTTAAGCACATTGTATTTGCCTTTTCATCAATTTTAATGTTTTTCACTAGCGTAAAATACACAACTGCAGTTACTCATATTCATCCTGGAACTGCAGAGGACACAGAGATTTTGTGACCAAGGCAGTCATGGACAGGTTGCTATCTTACACTATACAAATGCTGTCTTACTTCCATTGCCAGTTATGAACTGCATATAAAGTTTGCACATAATTACTAAGGCTGAATAAAGGATCACTACTATTATTACTGTTGCAGATGTTGGTGCCATCTTCTAGAATATCGGAAGTTTTATGTGAAGTTAGGTATAATCTTTTGGTAGGGTACTGCTTTCATATCATTATTGGACTGAAAATGACTATCCTCTAGATTCATTAATGTGCTTAGTCTAATTTCCTAATTCGCCACCATCAGAAATGTAAATCAAAGCTCCAGAAGTATGGCTTTTCAAAATATGAATTTATTTTGTAGAAGAAAACTTATATTGTATGTTTGTTGGCAAAGTAGAGAGCATGTTCTTGTCTTCCATGAAGGCTAATGGCATTTTCAACTGTTAGATCAAGCTTTTCTGGTAAGAAATTTTACTGCTGCTAGTGTAATAATTCACCTATTTTATATAATTTTAAAATATTTTAAGGTTATTATAGATGTTTATCCTTCCAAAGCATAACCAGATTGCAACATGGATATTGTATTTTAGTTTTTGGCTGTTTTAAAGCATCCAGGTGAGATAATAAAAGATGGGAAAAATGTTCACTATAAATTTACTTTGAAAAATATACCAATATAACATGTGGACATTTTTGTATGATATATGTGTGTGTGTGTGTGTGTGTGTGTGTGCGCGCGCGCGTGTATGTGTGTGTGTGTAGAAAGAGACAGAGAGAGAATATTAAATATGTTACGTATATTGCATTACCTCACACAAATGCACACAATTAAATTCCTACTGCAAAATGTAGAGACTAGGCCGGGCACCCTGGCTCATGACTGTAATCTCAACACTTTGGGAGGCCAAGGAGGGTGGATTACTAGATCAGGAGTTCAAGACCAGCCTGGCCAAGATGGTGAAACCCCGTCTCTACTAAAAATACAAAAATTAGCTGGGCGTGGTCATTGGCGCCTGTAATCCCAGCTACTCGGGAGGCTGAGGCAGAGAATTGCTTGAACTCGCGAGGCGGAGTTTGCAGTGAGCCAAGATCACACCACTGCACTCCAGTCTGGGCGACAGAGTGAGAAATATGTCTCAAAAAAAATAATAAAAATAAAAAATTATAGAGACTAGCCTGGCCTGTATAGTATTAAGAAAAGATCAACAGAATTTATTCAGAGCCCTCTATCACAATGATGATCGTTTTCATTATATGAGCCATTGTCGCTGTATACTAAAAGTAATATACTCAATATACGCAAACATTTTAGTCCCCAATTAAATATGTCTCTGAGGCAACATACTATTATTATACAGTATTTCATATTATCTGAACTTCATGATAAACATGTTTGAGATAATGATCTCGATCTCTGTTTTAACAATTTAGGAATGGAAGGAAAATGCCCAGAAATGCTGACGTTAATAGTTATTCTTAGAATTGTTGAAGTCTGACTTGATGACTTTGAATGCCAAGTTGAATGCAGGTTTTGAGACAACTTTACATTATGCTCTCCTCAAAGGATGATGTGGTAATTCCATTTCTCAAAGTAGCTACTAAACTTCCCAGGTGAAACAAATAAATTGAAAGGACTTCCACACATAGTGAGGTGCCAGTAGATCCACACGGTGCATACCAGACAGTTCCACATTTTTCACACAAGGAGTAAGCAGTCTCTAGCCCCTTTGTTTTTCATATATAAATTGACTAATTTTAAATTGATAAGAATATAAAATTAGATAATAAAGTGCAAAATTTTGAAGAGTTAAAGTGTAATATAAGATGAGCTCCTAGTTTTTGAAAAAGGTATTTATGGTCCAGGTGTGATGGCTCACACTTGTAATCCCAGCCCTTTGGGAGGCTGAGGTTGGTAGATAACTTGAGCCCGGAAGTTCGACCAGCCTGGGCAACACGGAGAAACCATGTCTCTACAAAAAAAACCAAAAATTAGCTGGATGGTTATGCATGCCTGTAGTACCAGCTACTCAGGAGGCTGAGGAAGGAGGACCATCTGAGCCTGGGAGGCAGAGGCTACAATGAGCCGTAATTGTGCCACTGCACCCCAGCCTGGGCGATGGAGTGAGAGACCCTGTCTCAAAAAGAAAAAAAAAAAAAAAGAAAAAAAAAGAAATGTTTAAACAGTGTGAATTCAATCTTCAAATAAAACTTAGAAGTCATTATTTCAGTTGGCTTCTGGTATCAGTTCAGTATTTTCAATAAGAAAGTTATTCAAAAGCAAAATGACACATGGTAGCTAAAACATAAAAATATATATTTTTTCAAAATGATGTTTTACAGCTAGAAAATAATACATAGTAAGCTTAAGTTTTTCAAAATAACTTCTCTTTCAAATTGGGCCCTTCAGAAACACTGATGGCTCATTAATTTCTCAAAAATTTAAAAAATAATTTCAGAAAAATATTTACCTGAAATACATCAGTAGGCATAGGGCCAGGGTTAGCTGATTTAGTTCCATAATTGAACAAATATTTATAACTGGCTCTTTGAAGGGGAAATTTTCTTATAGAAACATCTTTGTGTTTGAGAGTATGAATTCTGGAGCGGACTCTGTAGGTTCAAGTCCTACCTCTGCCATTTGCCAGCTGTGCCACCTGGGGCAAGCTATAGACTTGTTTGTGCCTCAGTTTACTCATCTTAAATATGGGGATAAAAAGGTCTTACCTCAAGTGGTTATTAGGAGTTTGAAATGAGGTTATATATATAAAATACTTAGAACAACCCCTGGTGCATAGGGAGTTTTGCATAAGGGTTACCTGTTACTACTATTAAAGCACACGGGTTGCAAACTAGCTACCCTCAGGCTGTGAACAACTTTTAAAAAACATTTAAATATCAAGAATATATGAGATATAGATTTTTAACTTCTCTTCATGAATAAAAAATATCTGACCATATGGTAGCAGGGTTAGTGGTCATAACCCTTTCCCATTCCTGGGCCTGTTTCTCTTGTTCTGCCCAAAGTTGACATCCATCCTTGCAGCCCTGGGTGGAGCCACAGACCTTTCAAGGCCAAAAACCTTTATGGAGCAGGACCTGTGCTGAGGGAGACACCAGGAGTTTGGCATTCCTGCTCTTCCCTCACCTGCTGAAATTAAATAGTTAAAAAAAAGTGTAAAAATGCCAAAGTTTAAGGAAAAGTCAATAAAGACTAAATGGCATTACTTCCACAGGATCTGTAGTAAAATGTCTTGAGAATGTCCCTTTCCTTTTTTCCCTTTATAGTAAGTTTTTCAGCTCATTGAGTTTCAACTGTCTTCGCCTTTGGCCCCATCCTGTGGTCATTCCTTCTTGTACACCAAGTATGTGCTTCTATGAGAACAATATTTAGTTCTTCAACTTTAAGAGTTAGTTTCAGGTGAACTAACGAACACAAGAATGTTCCCCAGTGACATCCCTCCCCACCCCTCTATCCGTTTTGAATGCTCCCTTTGTTTCTCTACCTTTGCTGTGCTTAATTACAGTGACAGTTATTTTTTTCAGGTTCTTTTTCCACAGACAAGAATCATAAGCCAGCTAGTCCAACAGAAAAAGAATAACTATAAAAATAAGTCCTCTCTGGGAAATGAATCTTTTTGATGTTGAAGTATTTCATTTTCACACCATTACAAATGTTGTTTTAGCCCATGATACACTGAACATCTAGATTCTATAATGATAAGCACATCATTCATTGATCTGACATCATTTAATTTACCTGAACAAATAAGACAATTTTCAGGCACCTTTCTTGTCATCTGATATAATGGAAGAAATAGTTCTAATACTTGTGGTTACATATGCATTAACACCCTGATGTTAAGGTGATAACAAAATTCTCAAATTTGTCTAACCTTATTCTGTGCGTTTCTTTATTATATATGTATTATAAGATCTTAACAGAGACAGGATTTTCCTTTAAATCTGTGACAAAATGTCACTCAGCCTTATAAGGCTGACTCATTTTAAAACTTGCTTTAGAAATGTGTTACAGTGTTATGTGTTAAATTACAGATTTGGAAGATATCCTTTATGGTTTTTCTGAATTGCAAAAAATAGATGTGATAATAAAATGTTATGCATTTCATTATATTCTGCTTCATGTTGTCGGTTGATCATTTAGTGGTAAAGTTGTTTTCTTCCCTTTATATGTGATCTTCAGACTAATTTGAAGTTGATATTTTTGTATTGCATGGAATATCTTCACTGCTTCAGCTTACCATAAATTGTTTCATCCCTTTATAGTATCCTTTAGAAAAAACATTTTGAATTTATAATTCCTGTCCTGAAACATCATAGGAAACTTAATTTGTTTTGACACATAAAAATAGCATCATACTAGAACTTTAATCAGAAGACCACCTCTCCACTGAATCTCTACAATTTTTCAAACTCTGAGACAGGGAGAAAGATAGCCAAAGGTATCACCTTTATTGTTTGGCTTCTATTTTTTGAACTAAATTAATATTATTGAGTTTAGTTGTTTTAAAATAAATTAATTTTTAAATTAAATCAGTTGAATAGGCAATACAATGTTTCAGATTTTTTTTTTTTTTGAGACAGAGTCTCACTCTGTTGCCCAGGTTGGAGTGCAGTGGCATGATCTCGACTCACTGCAAGCTCTGCCTCCTGGGTTCAGGCCATTCTCCTGCCTCAGTCTCCCAAGTAGCTGGGACTACAGGCGCCCACCACCACGCCTGGCTAATGTTTTGTATTTTCAGTAGAGATGGAGTTTCACCGTGTTAGCCAGGATGGTCTTGATCTTGTGACCTCATGATCCGCCTGCCTCGGCCTCCCAAAGTGCTGGGATTACAGGTGTGAGCCACCACACCCGGCCTAAAAAATTTTTAAAAATGTAAATATGTGTAGTCTGCAAAGCCTCCCTTTCCTCATTATATTTTTCCTCATTTACCTCCTGTCCCTTTTTCACACATTGGTAACCACTGTAATTAGCTCATTTTGAGTTCTCCAAGAGTTTCTTCAGGCAAATACAAACCAATAAATGATATATTCTTTCCCTGCCTAGCACAAAACTCTGTCTCCTACCCATTTGTTCCACAAGTTGCTTTGTTAAATTAACAATACAGGTCCCATATACAATATTATTATTAACTAGAGCCATCATGCTGTATAGTAGGCCTTTAGAATTTATTCATCCTATACAACTGGAACTTTGTGCCCCTTGACAAGGGCCTCCCCATTCCCCCCACTTCTCCATCCCTGGTAACCACCATTCAACTCTCTGTTTCTATAAATTCAACTTTTTAAGATTCCACCTATAAGTGAGATCATGCAGCATTTTTTTGTGTGGGCTTATTTCACTTAGCGTAATATTCCACAGGTTCATCCACGTTGTTGCAAATGGCAGGCTATCCTTCTTTTTTAAGGCTGAATAATATTCCACGTGTGTGTGTGTATAATAATTTATTCATATCTTGGTAATCGTGAATAATGCTGCAGTGCACAACATAATAGTTAATACTGTATTGTACACTTGAAATTTGCTAACAGAGTAGATCTTAAGTGTTCTTACCACTCTCCCACACACAGAGAAAAGACAACTATACTAAAAGATGGATATATTAATTAGCTTGACTGTAGTAATCAGCTCAGTATGTATATCAAAACACCACATTGTACATCTTAATTTTCATTAAAAAACCCCAAACAAAAAACATACAATGCATTTCACAGATCTTTATGTATCAGTATATGGAAAGCTTCCTCTTTCTTTTTTTACAGCAGCGTCGGATGCTGTTGTACAGATATAATTTTTCTAATCGGATCCCTGTTGATAATTTAAAATAGTCCAGTTTTTTGCTCTCACAGTGCTGCAATGCATATTGTTTATTTTCATATATGTAAGTTTAATATACATTGTCAGAAATAGAACTGCTGAATAAACAGTTGTATATATTTGTAATTTAGAAAAAGTTTTCAAATTGCCTTCCATAGGCCTCGTGCCAATTTATATTCTCATCAGCAATAACTGAAAGTATCTGTTTTTCCATTGCCTTGTCAATGGGCTGTTGTCAAAATTTAAGGGTTTTTGTTAATCTGTTAGGTGAAACATAGCTTATTCTAAATTAGTATTTCTTCTATTATCCAATTAAAGTTTTTTGTATTTCATTTTCTATCAACAGTTCTATCATTATCAACTGATAATGTATTTTGACAGTTGTCTTTTGTGTTGCTATATATTCTTGTGGCTTTCCAGTATTGTTTTTATATTATAAAGATTGGGGCTGGGAAAGGTGGCTCACGCCTGTAATCCCAGCCCTTTGGGAGGCTGAGGCTGGTGGATGACCTAAGGTCAGGAGTTCGAGATCAGCCTGGCCAACATGGTGAAATCCTGTCTCTACTAAAAATACAGAAATCAGCCAGGTGTGGTAGCGCCTATAATCCCAGCTACTTAGGAGGTTGAGACAGGAGAATGGCTTGAACAGCTACAGTGAGCTAACATCGCACCAGCCTGGGCAACAAGAGGGAAACTCTGTCTCAAAAAAAAAAAAAAAAAAAAAAAAAGATTGGCCTGTGATATACATTACAGATATTATCCTTAGTTTGTCATTTGCCTTTTATTTTTCTTATGTGCTTTGCTATACTATAGGAATCAAATATATACTATAAAAATTAAATATTTTCTTTTCCTTTCTCTTTCTCCTCTCTGTTTTCTTCTCCTTCTTTGTAGACAATATAGAACATCTTTCTGACCTTGAGGTCAGGAAGTCCTCCTCGACAAGACACAAAAAAGAAAAATCACAAAGGAAAAGAATGACAACTTGACTCCATCAAAATTAAAAACAGGTGCACATCAGAATATACCATATATACAATTAAAAGATAAGTAATGATATAGAAGAAACTAATTGCCTCACACAAAGCAAACTTGGACTGCTTTCTAGAAAGTAAAAAGGAATCCTAAAATAATCAATATGAAAAAGACAAACAACCAAATAAAACAAAATAAAAAAGCAGACAAAGATTCAAACAGGCAAATTCACAAAAGAGGGAATTCAAATGGTCAATAAACACATTAAAATATATTTAAACTGCAGTAACCAGAGAATAGCAAATGTAAAACAAGGTGTCATATTTCTACTCATTTGATTTGCAATTATTAAAAGTGTTGAAATTATCAATTGCTGGGGCATCAAATATCCTCATAGATGGCCAATGATGGAAGTATGTACACATTATTAAGTTTTGTTTCTAGCAGTGTTTGGTAAGAATTGAAACTTTTGCTCTATTTGAAATTTATCTTGGTATATGGTGTGAAGTATGGATTTGATGTAAACATTTTTTGGATGTTTTCCTAGCTGCTTTAACACCATTTATTAAACAGTACCTCTTTTTCATGCTGACTTGAGATGACATCTTTGCCATATACTAAATTCACATATGTCTTTGGGTCAGCTTCTGAATTTACTAATCTGTTCATCTATCTGTCTACTCGTGTCACTACCTCCTGTTTTAATTATTACAGCTTCACAATATGATTTAATGAATGTATTATTATTTGATTTTTTTTTCTCCTTAGTCACATTTTTCTTCTGTGTTCTTTTTGTTTTTGATATTTTTTCTTTATATTGCCTTGTATTGATTTTGTACAGGCATGCCTCATTTTATTGTGCTTTGCTTTACTGTGTTTTGCAGATATTGCATTTTTTTCCAGATTGAAGGTTTGTGGCAACCCTGCATCAAGCAAGTCTATAAGCATCATTTTTCCAACAGTATGTGCTCACTTATTGTCTGGGTGACATTTTAGTAATTTGCACATTTCAAGCTTTTTCATTATTTGTATATCTGTTATGGTGATCTGTGATCAGTAATCTTTGATATTACTATTATATTTCAAATGTTTTGGGACACCATGAACTGGACCCACCTTAACAGAACTTAATCTATAAATGTTCTCTATAGAACTTAATCTATAAAAGTTCTTTATCAAACGAATCTATAAACGTGCATGTTCTGATAGTTCCACTAATCAGCTGTTTCCCATCTCTCTCTCTCTCCTCAGGCCTCCCTATTCCCTGAGACACAACAATATTAAATTAGGCCAATTAATAATGCCACAATGGCCTCTAAGAGTTTGAGTGAAATGAAGAGTTGTCTATCTATCTATCTATCTATCTATCTATCTATCTATCTATCTATCTATAATCCATCTATTTATTTTTGAGACAGATTCTTGCTCTGTCGCCCAGGCTGGAGTGCGGTGGCACTATCTCGGCTCACTGCAACCTCCACCTCCTGGGTTCAAGCAATTTTCCTGCCTCAGCTTCCCTAGTAGCTGAGATTACAGGTGCCCAACACTATGCCCAGCTTTTTTTTTTTTTTGTATTTTTAGTAGAGATGGGGTTTCACCATGTTGGTCCAGCTGATCTCGATCTCCTGACCTCAAGTGATCCACTGGTCCTTGGCCTCCCAAAGTTCTGAGATTACAGGAGTGAGCCACTGCGCCCGACCATATCTCTCATTTTAAATGAAAAGCTATAAATGACTAACATTAGTGAGGAAGGCATGTGGAAAGGTGAGACAGGTTTGAAAGCTAGGCCTCTTGCACCAATTGGTTAGCCAAGTTGTGAATGCAAAGGAATAGTTCTTGGAGGAAATTAAAGTGCTACTCCAGTGAACATATGAATAATAAGAAAGTGATACATGCTTATTACTGATATGAAGAAAAGTTTTTGTGTCTGAATAGAAGATCAAATCAGCCACAACATTTCCTTAAACCAAAGCCTAATCCAGAGAAAGTCTCCAACTCTCTTCAATTCCATGAAGGCTGATAGAGGTGAGGAAGCTAGCAAAGATTAAAACCTAGTATAGGCTAAGGAAGAAGCTGTCTCCATAACCTAGAAGTGCAAGGTGAAGCAGCAACTGCTGCTGTGGAAGCTGTAGCAAGCTGTCCAGAAGAGTTAGCTAAGATCATTGATGAAGGTGGCTACACTAAACAGCAGATTTTCAATGTAAACAAAGCAGCCTTCTATTGCAAGAAGATGCCATCTAGGACTTTCAAAGCTAGAGAGAAGTCAATGACTGGCTTCAAAGGATGGGCCGACTCTGTTGTTAGGAGCTAATGCAACTGGTGACTTTAAGTTGAAGCCAAAGCTCATTGACCATTCTGCAAATCCTAGGGCCTTAAGAATTATGCTGTTTCTACTCTTCCTGTGCTCTATAAATGAAAAAACAAACTCTAGATGGGAGCCCATCTGTTTACAGTATGGTTTACTGAATATTTTAAGCCCACCATTGAGACCTATTTCTCAGAATAAGAGTCTTTTCAAAATATTACTGCTCATTGACAATGCACTTGATTACCCAAGAGGTCTGATGGAGATGTGCAGAAGATTAATGTTGCTTTCATGGATGCTAATTCAGCATCCATTCTACAGCTCATGGATCAAGGAGTAATTTTGACTTTCAGATTTGCTATTTAAGAAATACTTTACATAGTGCTCAGCTGCCCTAGTGATTCCTTTGATGAATCTGGGCAAAGTCAATTGAAAGTCTTTTCAAAAGAGTTCACCATTCTAGATGCCATTAACAACATTCACAATTCATGGCAGGAGGTCAAAATATCAACATTAACAGAAGTTTAGAAGAAGACGGTTCCAACCCTAACAGATGATTTTGAGGGGTTCAAGACATCAGTGCGATGAAGTAACTGAAGATGTGGTGGAGATGTAAAGAAGACTAGAATTAGAAGCAGAGCCTGAATTTGGGACTAAATTGGTGCAATCTCAGGATAAAACTTGAACAAACGAGGAGTGGTTTTTATGGATGTGTAAAGAAAGGTTTCTTGGTATGGAATCTACTTCTGGTGAAGATGCTGTGAGCATTGTTGAAACGACAACAAAGGACATAGAATAGTACATAAACTTAGTTGATAGAGCAGTGAGATAGGGCTTGAGAGGATTGACTCCAATTTTGAAGGAAGTTCTACTGTGGGTAAAATGCTATCAAACAGCATTGCATACTAGAGAAATATTGCATGAAATGAACAATCAATTGATGCAGCAAACTTCATTGTTTTCTTATTTTAAGAAATTGCCATGGATGCTTCAACTTTAGGCAACAACCACTGTAGTCAGTCAGCAGCCATCAAAGTAGAGAAGACCCTCCACCAGCACAAAGCTTACAACTTACTCAAGGCCAAGATGATTATTAGCTTTTTTAGCAATAAATTATTTTTAAATTATGGCATGTACGTTGTTTTTTATACATAATGCTACTGGACACTTAATGGTCTACAGTATAGTATAAACATAACTTTTACATGCACTGGGATGCCAAAAAAATTCATGTGACTTGCTTTATTGTGATGATCTGGAACCAAACCTGCAATATCTCTGAGTTATGCCTGTACTTGTTTCTTTTTTATTAATTTAGTTATTATTAAATGTGTGTATTTCACTAGACCAGCTATTTTCTGTAGAGCTCATTACAGTTAGGTAGAGAGAGTCATCACCACACAGAATAATTCTCTGTGTAAAATATTTCTCCACAAGTTTCTGCCACAGAAGCAGATAGCTTCCTGCAAATATGGCTTGTTTATGTGATTTTTTTTAGAGCCACTCATATTTTGCTACTCTAAATCAAGCCATTTCCTGCCTTGCTCAACACAGCTCCTACATCCTTGTAAACAAGAATTACAGTTTTTAGATTTCAGAATATGTCTTCAATTTTTAGAAAGCTGTGTTTTTGCTGGTGCTTTTTGAGACTCAAGACAACAGTGGACAGGTTCCACTTTCTGTGATTTGACTCCTTTTTAACTCCTTTATTAACTTCTTCCCAATCTTAATTGTTTTTAGCAACTCATAGTTATATTTAGGGATCTACACATGATATGTATTTTAGCTTCATTGAAAATGTTTTTATTTAATTCCAATTTTTCATTCTTCTTGGTTTTGTATACTTTTGGAAGAGTAGGTTTGGGAGTAGGGAGAATTCCTGACTGATAGCAGTCACATTCTCATTAGAAGTTAAGGGCTTCTAATGAAATTTTTCATGATTTCTTTTAATATGATGTTTTCGTGTGATTCCTCCAGCTAATGTAGATGTGACTGCCATTCTGACCATGACATGCTACTGTGCATAGTAAGCCCCTTTGGGCTTTGCCCATACCTGAAAAGTCTTTCTGAAAACCTCACCACTGACTTCTTTTCACTTAACTTACTCAGATGTGTCCTTGGAGATCTGTATTGAGTATCTCTTCTCTCTAGAAGCTTTCCCTTACATCCCCTGTACTTGCATCCCACCTTTGTACTTTACTTGCATCTCACCCTGGGGTACTTCCTTTGCTCTTATTTCCCTAGACCACAATGATCTGCTTACTCCTGTATAGATTCTAGAAGGTACTGTATAAAGTATTCTCAGGAGATGCTTCTTCAAGATGCATTGTGAAAACAGTGTGGTGTGATCAAATATTTGGGAAATGCTGCATATTATATTCTTAGTCTTAGAGAGTCACAATTTATATATTAGAATTTGCAAAAGGTCTTAAAAAAAGAAGTCTGTTAATATTGATATAACCAATAGCATACCAAAAGTAGTTGTTTATGAAACCCCCATTTATGTGTGACAGAGTGTTAATACATGCTGGGAAGCTACACAAGAAATGCCTCCTTGATGTGACTATGGTAGGATCCTCAGCTCCTAGTCCAGTGCCTGGTACATTGTGCTACTTAATATATGCCTGTTGAATGACTTAATCTACCTTATACACTATCCCAGATGCTTAGTTGTTTACAGAAACGTGTTATAAGTTGGTTTTACATACAAGGGATCACAATGGCATAAACTCTGGAGAGCTGTGTAGGTCTGCTTCAGATAAATAGATTTGGCTCCAATGTTGAATGTTATTTTTGAGTCATGGGGACATTTACTAAGCAAAAAGCATTCAGGGGAGGGTGGCCAGGTTATTTAAGGGATTTGGAAAACCTTTATGCATGGAGTGATGAGAAGTAGTGGATACATTTAGTTTGGAGAAGATAATGCTAATAAGAAAATTTTATCTTTAAATATTGAACAGTGACTAAGATATCATTTTACCAGTCAAAAATTTCACAGTATAGTAAAAAAAAAAAAAAAAACAACAAACTGATTACAACATAATGAAATAAGTGTCCTGGCAAAACATCTTCAGCATCAGAGAAAAGAGTGAATAGTTTGCTTGGAGGATTGGGTGTGTGGGTAGTCAGGGAGACTTCTCTGAGGGGGCAGCATCTGAGCATATTTTAAGGGTGAGCATGTGTGGAGCGCTCCATATCACAACACAGTCTACCTCTGAAGAAAGATCTAGGTGAAAGTTTAGAGTTTATTTATCTTTAATGGAAAACTGTTATGTTTGGATGAGAGAGCTGTTTCTGTCAATTGTTCTACATTGAACACTTCCAAGTTGTGGCATAATGCAGCATGCAGTGGCTGAAAATATATGAAGCACTTTTTGAGTTGCTGACTTAAAAGTGAATCATTGAATAATATTTTTCTTATTTAGGTTTAAGCTTATTGTTTTTGTTGTTGTTGTTGTTTTGTTTGTTTTGTTTTTTTTTTTTTTTTTGAGACAGAATCTCACTCTGTTGCCCAGGCTGGAGGGCAGTGGTGTGATCTTGGCTCACTGTAGCCTCTGCCTCTTGGGTTCAAGCGATTCTCATGCCTCAGCCTCCCAAGTAGCTGGGACTGCATGTGTGCGCCACCATGCCCAGCTAATTTTTGTATTTTTAGTAGAGATGGGGTTTCATTACACTGGCCAGGCTGGTCTCAAACTCCTGGCCTCAAGTGATCCACCTGCCTCGGCCTCCCTAAGTGCTGGGATTACAGGCGTGAGCCATCTTTCCCAGCCTAAGATGATTCTATTTATGATGACCTGTTCTTGGTAATGCGCTTCTTTTTTTTTTAAAGGAGGTGAGAAATTCTGTGGGCTTCAAAGGAGTGTTGATTTTAGGTGGCTCAGCATACGGCTGAAATGCTTGTAGTTTACATTGTAAAATATTGACTTTATAAGTAGATCATTCTATAAGATACATGAATTCAATACTTATCTTTCTACTCATTGTAGATTTCCAGAGTTCTATATCATCAGAAGGGCTGAAACATATTCAGAAAATAGACAGTTTGGGCCAGGCACAGTGGCTCATGCCTGTAATCCCAGCACTTTGGGAGGCCGAGGTGAGCGGATCATGAGGTCAAGAGATCGAGATCATCCTGGCCAACATGGTGAAACCCTGTCTCTACTAAAAATACAAAAATTAGCTGGGCATGATGGCACGTGCTTGTAGTTCCAGCTACTTGGGAGGCTGAGGCAGGAGAATTGCTTGAACCCGGGAGGCGGAGATTGCAGTGAGCCAAGATTGCATCACTGCACTCCAGCCTGGTGTCAGGGCGAGACTCCATCTCAAAAGAAAAAAAAAAAAAAAACAAAAACAGAAACAAAATAGACAGTTTGTTTCACAACCTTGGAGGAAGAGAAAATTTCATTAATCCAAATGAAAATACAAAGATTTAATAGATTTTTTTTATTTTTATTTTTTTGAGATGGAGTTTCACTCTTGTTGCCCAGGCTGGAGTGCAGTGGCACCATCCCAGCTCACTGCAAACTCCGCCTCCCAGGTTCAAGTGACTCTCCTGCCTCAGCCTCCCAAGTAGCTTGGATTACAGGCATGCACCACCACAGACGACTAATTTTGTATTTTTAGTAGGGACAGGATTTTACCATGTTGGCCAGGCTGGTCTGGAACTCCTAACCTCAGGTGATCCACTCACCTCAGCCTCCCAAAATGTTGGGATTACAGGAGTGAGCCACCACGCCTGGCCTAAGTTAGATTTTTATTAGAAAAAGGAATCAACGTTAAATTTTATATTTCTAAGAAATGTTTTCATTTATCCAACTCCGTGTTTTACTTGTTTGCTTATAAGAATAAAAGAAATGATTTCACTGTTTTATTTCATACTGAACTGACAGGCTTCACTTGTTTCATAATTTTAGTGTATAAAGCTATTAATGTTAGTTTTGTAGACACTGAAAATTACTTTTTAAAATGAAAATAGTTGATTGCCAAGTGAAATTGTGGATTATGCTTCCCTAAAGATGTTTTAAAAATACATATTTTATATTTATTTAAAATAGAAAATATGTATTTTATATAAAATATGAAAATCATATTATTTTATTTTATTTTATTATTATTATACTTTAAGTTTTAGGGTACA
Source organism: Homo sapiens (assembly GCF_000001405.40). Taxonomy (NCBI): domain Eukaryota; kingdom Metazoa; phylum Chordata; class Mammalia; order Primates; family Hominidae; genus Homo; species Homo sapiens. The sequence goes on along the minus strand of NC_000005.10, from coordinate 87,059,257 downwards.
TGTGCACAACGTGCAGGTTAGTTACATATGTATACATGTGCCATGCTGGTGTGCTGCACCCATTAACTCTTCATTTAGCATTAGGTATATCTCCTAATGCTATCTCTTCCTCCTCCCCCCACCCCACAACAGTCCCCAGAGTGTGATGTTCCCCTTCCTGTGTCCATGTGTTCTCAATGTTCAATTCCCACCTATGAGTGAGAACATGAGGTGTTTGGTTTTTTGTCCTTGCGATAGTTTACTGAGAATGATGATTTCCAATTTCATCCATGTCCCTACAAACGACATGAACTCATCATTTTTTATGGCTGAATAGTATTCCATGGTGTATATGTGCCACATTTTCTAAATCCAGTCTATCATTGTTGGACATTTGGGTTGGTTCCAAGTCTTTGCTATTGTGAATAGTGCCCCAAGAAACATACGTGTGCATGTGTCTTTATAGCAGCATGATTTGTAATCCTTTGGGTATATACCCAGTAATGGGATGGCTGGGTCAAATGGTATTTCTAGTTCTAGATCCCTGAGGAATCGCCACACTGACTTCCACAATGGTTGAACTAGTTTACAGTCCCACCAACAGTGTAAAAGTGTTCCTATTTCTCCACATCCTCTCCAGCACCTGTTGTTTCCTGACTTTTGAATGATTGCCATTCTAACTGGTGTGAGATGGTATCTCATTGTGGTTTTGATTTGCATTTCTCTGATGGCCAGTGATGGTGAACATTTTTTCATGTGTTTTTTCACTGCATAAATGTCTTCTTTTGAGAAGTGTCTGTTCATGTCCTTCGCCCACTTTTTGATGGGGTTGTTTGTTTTTTTCTTGTAAATTTGTTTGAGTTCATTGTAGATTCTGGATATTAGCCCTTTGTCAGATGAGTAGGTTGCGAAGATTTTCTCCCATTTTGTAGGTTGCCTGTTCACTCTGATGGTAGTTTCTTTTGCTGTGCAGAAGCTCTTTAGTCACATGATTATCTTAATAGATGCAGAAAAGGCCTTTGACAAAATTCAACAACGCTTCATGCTAAAAACTCTCAATAAATTAGGTATTGATGGGACGTATCTCAAAATAATAAGAGCTATCTAAGAAAAACCCACAGCCAATATCATACTGAATGGGCAAAAACTGGAAGCATTCCCTTTGAAAACTGGCACAAGACAGGGATGCCCTCTTTCACCACTCCTATTCAACATAGTGTTGGAAGTTCTGGCCAGGGCAATTAGGCAGGAGAAGGAAATAAAGGGTATTCGATTAGGAAAAGAGGAAGTCAAATTGTCCCTGTTTGCAGATGACATGATGGTATATCTAGAAAACCCCATTGTCTTAGCCCAAAATCTCCTTAAGCTGATAAGCAACTTCAGCAAAGTCTCAGGATACAAAATCAATGTACAAAAATCCCAAGCATTCTTATACACCAATAACAGACAAACAGAGAGCCAAATCATGAGTGAACTCCCATTCGCAATTGCTTCAAAGAGAATAAAATGCCTGTGAATCCAACTTACAAGGGACGTGAAGGACCTCTTCAAGGAACTACAAACCACTGCTCAATGAAATAAAAGAGGATACCAAGTAATGGAAGAACATTCCATGCTCATGGGTAGGAAGAATCAATATCGTGAAAATGGCCATACGGCCCAAGGGAATTTATAGATTCAATGCCATCCCCATCAAGCTACCAATGACTTTCTTCACAGAATTGGAAAAAACTACTTTAAAGTTCATATGGAACCAAAAAAGAGCCCACATCACCAAGTCAACCCTAAGCCAAAAGAACAAAGCTGGAGGCATCACGCTACCTGACTTCAAACTATACTACAAGGCTACAGTAACCAAAACAGCATGGTACTGGTACCAAAACAGAGATATAGATCAAGGGAACAGAACAGAGCCCTCAGAAATAATGCCGCATATCTGCAACTATCTGATCTTTGACAAACCTGAGAAAAACAAGCAACGGGGAAAGGATTCCCTATTTAATAAATGGTGCTGGGAAAACTGGCTAGCCATATGTAGAAAGCTGAAACTGGATCCCTTCCTTATACCTTATACAAAAATTAATTCAAGATGGATTAAAGACTTAAACGTTAGACCTGAAACCATAAAAACCCTAGAAGAAAACCTAGGCATTACCATTCAGGACATAGGCATGGGCAAGGACTTCATGTCTAAAACACCAAAAGCAATGGCAACAAAAGCCAAAATTGACAAATGGGATCTAATTAAATTAAAGAAAATCATATTTTTTAAGTTGAGAATGACCTGCCTGATTGTGGAGATGAGTTAGTTGACCATTCATTCATTCATTCATTCAGGGAATGTTTTTTGAGTGACTGTTAGTAACAATACACTGGGGGTTCTCATTATCTATAAGATGCTATCAATATGTATACAGAAAAGGGACTAGTTCTTTCAGCATTTGTTAAACAAATTACCTTAGAAGGCAACCCAATTTAGGAGACAGGGTGTAGGCTTTAGAGGCAGACTGATCTGAGTTTGAATCTAGGTTCTGCTACATACTAGCTGTGTTATTTTTGACAAGTTAATTGGTGTTCCAATTTTCAGTATTAAATGAGATATTTATAGCATTAAAACAATGTACCTAAAACAATGTCTGATACAAGTAGGCATTTAACAAATAGTCAACATCATGGCCATGCAAATAGGCACAATCAACTTAAGTATCAGCTCAGTTTGCTCCTGTTCTAATAATGATAGGTCTCAGCCCACCTGGTTATTTCCAAGACTATTTTGGAAACATTATAGAATCTTGATTGATAAACAATACAATAGAATGATGATGGTTCATAAGTATTCATATTTAAACAGTTTGAATAAATGTTCATAATTATTTTGCAGTTTAAAATGGCAGTTTTTCTGGGTACAAGGAAAGAAGACTGCTTTTTGACATTATGGAAGGAAGCTGTGAATAGTATTAAATCCCATTTACATTTGTATGCTTTAAAAATTTCTTGTATATAAGCCAGTTCTAATAATTTTTTTTTTTTTTTTTGAGATGGAGTCTTGTTCTTTTCACCCAGGCTGGACTGCAGTAGTGTGATCTTGGCTCACTGCAACCCCCGCCTCCACCTCCACCTCCGCCTCCGTGGTTCAAGCGATTCTCCTGCCTCAGGCTCCTGAGTAGCTGGGATTACAGGTGCCTGCCACCTCACCTGGCTAATTTTTGTTCTTTTAGTAGAGACGGGGTTTCACTATGTTGGCCAGGTTGTGAACTCCTGACCTCAGGTGATCCGCCTGCCTCGGCCTCCCAAATTGCTGGGATTACAGGCGTGAGCCACCGCGCCCAGCCCAGTTCTAATAATTCTTTATTTCCCAGTCGTTTAATGTAAGAAGTAAAGAAATACAAGTAAGTATAATAGATTTTTAAACTTTCTTTCCTGTTTCCCGAACTTTAAAACCCATCACTCAATTTGAAGACAATGCATTTTTATATGTGTTAGGAATTCACTTCTTCATACTTTTCAGATGCTCAGAGATTGTGGACATTATGCCTTTCATCCTTTACCTTTGGAACCAACTTGTATGGGAGAACAACTTATCAAGTATAATTGTACTATGGTCACACATGTCCTTTACTCTCCATGTTGAAAATAGAACTATGACAAGGAAGCAATTACTAGACCAATGTTTTTTTGGCCCAAAGGAGGCTAGTGCAGAATCAGACGAGGTTTTGAAGTGATCTAAAGATCTTGGATCACCTGGGTCCTGGTCATTTCAAGGCTATAGAATCTTAATGTAAATTGGAGAGATATAATTATTGAAAATAAATCTGGGTCTACTCTAATATTGACTTAGACTCATTTCAAAGTCCTAACATGATCTTCAGCCTTCCTTTCAGAGAAACTAATTCTCTAAATATGTATTCCTAGACCCACTATCATTGTCTTTGTACTGAATGATTATTGACAGTTTTTTGGATTTCTAGAGACCTCTCCTGACAGAGAAATATCCTGGTCCCTAGGAAGCATTCTCTGTGATTTTGGTTGGTAAGTATGGAGTGTTTCAGTTTCACATTTTCCATTGGTAACATCTGCTTTTCTCATATGCATTAGTTATATAGAAAAGATCTCTAGAGGATGTCAAATGCCCTTATTCCTTTCCTGTATATTCTTTAAAGTATATTTTCAAACTTCCCTACTAATTAAATTCTTCCTTTTCCCTTTCCTGTTTAAAATTCTCATTGTGTTATGCAAAATGGAGGCCTTGATTTTAGGGAAATGGGTCACATTATCATTTACTTCTTGAATTGTCAAAATAGGAAGTGATTCCACCAAATAAGAAAAGAAACATGCATAAAAGTTGTGATCTTTTTGAAAATATCAGCAAAATTTAGTACTCAGTAGGGGTTGGAGGTGGTAGAGAGGTGGGAAGGAGACCAGAACACAGAAGGCTGTTACTTACATGGAGATGCTTGATCTTTGCCTACTAATTGAAAAAATCATGATCCATGTAACCCAAAATGAAGATGACAACCTAGATATTTTATCAGTTTCATGGTCCACTCAATTCATTTACAGTTGAAATGTTTTGAAAACCTCCTAAAAGTGGAGCTGGATCATTTTTCCTTCCCACATTTGCTGCCTAATGTGCTATCTACAGTTCTGATGGGTTTTCACAACCGTCCAACTTTAGGGTGTTCAGCCATGTTTCTCCAAATAGTCTAAGGGTTCATGTTCACTGGTCAGGACTGTGTTTTCTTATAATCTTTATCAGACATTTAAAAGGAAGATCCTCCATTAAAAGGCCATGACAAAATTTTAAGTTTCAGGATCTGAATAAAATTGTTGTTGCATATGAATGAATGTTCTTTAGAAATAATTCAACCACATGTCAATCAGAATATGCCTAAAGGGAAACTTCTTTAAATTTAGTTTTGAGAAACAGAACTGACATGATGTCATTTTAATAACAGATTGCATTTTAGCCTTAACAATCATGTAAGGAATTAGCAAAATCCTAGTGAATTTCATTTTGATATATAGAATACATCAATGATATCTGGTTAGAAAGCTAGCTGAGTATACAAACATGCCATCATTCCAAGTATTTATAATAATAATGATATGCTTCTAAATTATTTTTAAATTTTTAATTTTAAACTATAAATTTTTGCCAGGCACAGTGGCTCATGACTATAATCCCAGCACTTTGGGAGGCCAAGGCAGGTGGATCACCTGAGGTTAGGAGTTCGAGACCAGCCTGGCCAATATGGTGAAACCCTGTTTCTACAAAAAATACAAAAATTAGCCGGGTGTGGTGGGGGGCGCCTGTAGTCCCAGCTGCTCGGGAGGCTGAGGCAGGAGAATGGCGTGAATCCAGGAGGCGGAGCTTGCAGTGAGCCGAGATTGCGCCACTGCACTCCAGCCTAGGTGACAGAGCGAGACTTCGTCTCAAAAAACTCCTTTCATCTGCTGGGCGCGGTGGCTCACGCCTGTAATCCTAGCACTTTGGGAGGCCAATGTGGGTGGATCACGAGGTCAGGAGATCAAGACCATCTTGGCTAACATGATGAAACCCCGTCTCTACTAAAAAATACAAAAAATTAGCCGGGCGTGGTCGTGGGCGCCTGTAGTCCCAGCTACTCGGGAGGCTGAGGCAGGAGAATGGCCTGAACCCAGGAGGCAGAGCTTGCAGTGAGCCGAGATCACACCACTGCACTCCAGCCTGGGCGACAGAGTGAGACTCTGTCTCAAAAAAAATAAAAAATCCTTTCATCTGTTGCTTGACACCTATGATGGTATCTTATCTTGGCTATTGTAAATAGTGCTGTAATAAACACGGGGGTGCAGATGTCTCTTGTGACACAGTAATTTCCTTTTCTTTAGATAAATGCACAGTAGTGGGATTGCTATATCATATGGAAATTCTATTTGTAGTTTTTTGAGGAACCTCCTTACTATTCTCCATAGTAGCTGTACTAGTTTACTTCACACCAGCAGTGTGTTGAGTTCCCTTTTCTCCACATTCTCGCCAGCATTTGTTATTTTTTGTTTTTGATAATAGCCATTCTAACTGGGGTGAGATGATACACCACAACATTATTGTGGTTTTGATTTGCATTTTCCTGATTAGTGATGTTAAGCATTTTATCAAACATTTGTTCCCCATTTGCATGTCTTCTTTTGAGAAATGTCTGTTCAGATTAATTGGTCATTCTTTTTCTGCCATTGAGATGTCTGAGTTCCTTGTATATTTTGTATATTAATTCCCTGTTGGATGAGTAGTTTGCAAATATTTTCTCCCATTCCATGGGTTGTCTTTTCACTCAACTGATTTTTTTCTTCTGTGGAGAAGCCTCTTAGTTTAATATAATCCCATTTGTTTATTTCTTGCTTTTGTTGCCCGTGCTCTAATAAAATCTTTTTTCAGACTCATGTCTTGAAGCATTTCATTTATGTTTTCTTCCAGTAGTTTTACTGTTTTAAGTCTTACATTTAGGTCTTTGATCAATTTAGGGTTTATTTTTGGATATGGGGAGAAGTAGGGAACTAGTTTCATTCATCTGTATATAGATAGTTTTCCCAGCACCATTTATTTAAGAGAACGTCCTTTCCCCAATGAGTATTCTTGGCACCCCTGTCAAAAATCAGTCGGCTGTAGATATATGGTTTAATTAATTTTGGGGGTCTTTATTCTGTTCTATTGGTCTCTGTGTTTTTCTGCCAGTGCCATGCTGGTTTTGTTACTTCAGCATTGTAGTATATTTTGAGGTCTGGTAGTGTGATATCTCCTTCTTTGTTCTGTTTGCTCAGGGTTGCTTTGGCTATTCAGTCTTTTGTGCTTCTGTACAAGTTTTAGGGATTTTTTTCTATTTCTATGAAGAATGTCATTGACATTTTGATAGGAATTGAATTAAATCTATAGATTGTTTTGGTTAGTATTGTCATTTAACAATATTAGTCCTTCTGATCCTTGAGCGTGGGATGCCTTTCTATTTGTTTGTATCCTCTTCAATTTCTCTCATCAGTGTTTTTCAGTTTTCCTTGTAGAGGTCTTTCACCTCCTTGGTTAAATTTATTCCTAGGTATTTTATTTTATTTTTTGGTAGCTATTGTAAATGGCACTGCCTTCTTGATTTCTTTTTCAGCTAGTTCTTTATTTACGTATAGAAAGATTTCTTTGAATATTAATTTTGAATTTTGTTTTTTGAATATTAATTTTGTATCCTGCAAATTTATTGAATTTGCTTATCAGTTCTAAGAGGGTTTTTTTGTAGAGTCTTTAGGTTTTGCTATATATATGATACGTTGCCTGCAAACAGGAAGAATTCGACTTCCTCCTTTCAAATTCGATGCTCTTTATTTCTCTCTCTTGCCTAATTGCTCTGGCTAGGACTTCCAGTATATGCTAAGAGTGATAAGAGTAGGCATCATTGTCTACTCCCATTTCTTAGGGGAAAAGCTTTTAGCTTTTTGTCATTGAATAATATGTTGCTGTACCAGATGTGGTTGCATTGCTTGAGCAAATTAACACATCTCCTGTTACCTGGTATGCAGCCATTGACTTGCAAATGCCTTCTTCTCCATTCCTGTCCATAAGGCCCACCAGAAGCAATTTGCCTTCAGCTGGCAAGGCCAGCAATATACTTTTACTATCCTACCTCAGGGGTATATCAACTCTCTGGCTTTGTGTCATAATCTTATTTGGAGAGATGTTGATGGCTTTTTGCTTCCTCAAGATATCACACTGGTCCATTAGATTGATGGCATTATGCTGATTGGATTCAGTGAGCAAGAAGTAGCAAACACACTAGACTTATTGGTGAGACATTTGGCTGCCAGAGGATGAGAAATAAATCCAACTAAAATACAGGGATTTACCTCAGTAAAATGTCTAGGGGTCCAGTGGTGTGGGGCCTGTCAAAATATTCCTTCTAAGGTGAAGGATAAGTTGCTGCATTTGGCCCCTCCTAAAACTAAGAAAGAGGCACAATGTCTAGTGGGTCTATTTGGATTTTGGAGGCAACACATGCCTCATCTGCGTGTGTTACTCCGGCCCATTTATCAAGTGACCCAAAAGGCTGCCAGTTTTGAGTGGGGTCCGGAACAGGAGAAGGCTCTGCAACAGGTCCATGCTGCTGTGCAAGCTGCTCTGCTACTTGGGGCATATGACCCAGCAGACCCAATGGTGCTTGAGGTGTCAGTGGCAGATAGGGATGCTGTTTGGAGCCTTTGGCAGGCCTCCATCGGTGAATTACAGGGGAGGCCTCTAAAATTTTGGAGCAAGGCCCTGCCATCTTCTGCAGATAACTACTCTCCTTTTGACACACAGCTATTGGTCTGTTACTGGGCTTTGGTGGAAACCGAATGTTTGACTATGGATCATCAAGTCACCATGCAACCTGAACTACCTATCATGAACTGGGTGCTTTCTGACCTATCTAGCCATAAAGTGGGTCATGCACAGCAGCATTCCATCATCAAATGAAAGTATACTTGATCGGGCTTGAGAAGGTCCTGAAGGCACAAATAAGTTACATGAAGAAGTGGCTCAAATGCCCATGGTCTCCACTCCTGCCACCCTGCCTCCTCTCCCCTAGCCTGCACCAGTGGCTTCATGGGGAGTTCCCTATGATTAGTTGACAGAGGAAGAGAAGACTAAGGCCTGGTTCACAGATGATTCTGCATGATATGCAGGCACTACCTGAAAGTAGACCACTGCATTACAACCCTTTTCTAGGACATCCCTGAAGGACAGCAGTGAAGGGAAATCTTCCCAGTGGGCAGAATTTCGAGCAGTGCACCTGGTTGTGTACTTTGCCTGGAAGGAGAAATGTCCAGATGTGCGATTATATACTGATTCATTGGCTGTAGCCAGTGGTTTGGCTGTATGGTCAGGGACTTGGAAGAAGTATGATTGGAAAATTGGTGACAAAGAAATTTGGGGAAGAGGTAAGTGGATGGACCTTTCTGAGTGATTGAAAACTGAAGATATTTGTATCTCATGTGAGTGCTCACCAATGGGTGACCTTGGCGGAGGAGGATTTCAATAATCAAGTGGATAGGATGACCTGTTCTGTGGACATCACTCAGCCTCTTTCCCCAGCCACCTCTCTTATTCCCCAGTGGACCCATGAACTATGTGGTCATGGTGGCAAGGATGGAGGTTACACATGGGCTCAGCAACATGGACTTCCACTCACCAAGGCTGACCTGGCTACCGCCACTGCTGAGTGCCCAATTTGCCAGCAGCGGATACCAACACTGAACCCTCGATATGGCGCCATTCCTCAGAGTGATCAGCCAGCTACCTGGTGGCAGGTTGATTATATTGGATCTCTTCCATCATAGCAAGGGCAGAGGTTTGTCCTCACTGGAACAGACACTTACTCTGGATATGGGTTTGCCTATCCTGCATGCAATGTTTCTGCCAAGACTCCATCCATGGATTCATGGAATGCATTATCTGTTGTGGGAAGTCAGGGACCCTGAATAGAGGGACTGGGTGAAGCCACAGCAGAAGAACATAAATTGTGAAGATTTCATGGACATTTATTAATTCCCTAAATTAATACTTTTATAATTTCTTATGCCTGTCTTTACTGCAGTCTCTGAACATAAATTGTGAAGATTTCATGGACATTTCTGACTTCTCAATCAATACTCTTATAATTTCCTATGCCTGTCTTTACTTTAATCTCTTAATCCCATCATCTTTGTAAAGTAAGGATGTATGTCACCTCAGGACCCTGTGATGATTATGTTATCTGTATAAGTTGTTTGTAAAACATGCGTGTTTGAACAATATGAAATCTGGGCATCCTAAAAGAACAGGATAACAGTGATTTTCAGGGAACAAGGGAAATAACCATAAAGTCTGACTGCCTGCGGGGCGGGGCGGGGCAGAACAGAGTCATATTTCTCTTCTTGCAAAAGCGAATAAGAGAAATATCACTGAATTCTTTTTCTCAGCAAGGAACAGCCCTGGGAAAAGAATGCACTCCCACTGACAGGCCCCTAAAATGGCCGCTCTGGGAGTGTCTGTCTTATGCAGTTGTAGATAAGGGATGAAATGTACCCTGGTCTCCTACAGCACCCCCAGGCTTGTTAGGATTGGGAAATTCCAGCCTGGCGAAATTCTAGTCAGACTGGTTCTCTGCTCTTGAACCCTGTTTCCTGTTAAGATGTTTATCAATGACAATGCATGCACAGTGGGACAGGGTACCTTATCAGTAATTCTAATTTTGCCCTGGCCTTCTGACCTTGCCCTGCCCATTTGCCTTGTGATATTTTGTTGCCCTTGAAGCATGTGATTTCTGTGACCCACACCCTATTCGTACACCCCTCCCCTTTTGAAATCCATAATAAAAACTTGCTGGTTTTGTGGCTCAGGGGGCATCACAGAATCTGCCGACATGTGACATCTCCCCCGGACACTCAGCTTTAAAATTTCTCTCTTTTGTACTCTTTCCCTTTATTTCTCAGACCAGCTGACACTTAGGGAAAATAGAAAAGAACCTATGTTGAAATATTGGGGGCTGGTTCCCCCGATACTTATCCACTATCATGGTATTCCACACAGCATTGCCTCTGACCAAGACACTCACTTTACAGCTAAAGAAGTGCAGCAGTGGGCTCATGCTCATGGAATTCACTGGTTTTACCATGTTCCTCATCATCCTGAAACAGCTAGATTGACAGAACAGTGGAATGGCCTTTTGAAGTCACAATTACAGTGCCAACAGTGTACAGTGACATTACTTTGCAGGGCTGGGGCAAAGTTCTCCAGAAGGCCGTGTATGCTCTGAATTAGTGTCCAGTATATGGTACTGTTTCTCCCATAGACAGGATTCATGGGTCCAGGAATCAAGGGCTGCAAGTGGAAGTGGCACCACTCACCATCACCCCTAGTGTTCCAATAGCAAAATTTTTGTTTCATGTTCCTGTGACATTACATTCTGCTGGCCTATAGGTCTTAGTTCCAGATGGAGGAATAGTGCCACCAGGAGACAAAACAATGATTCCATTAAACTGGTAGTTAAAGATTGCCACCTGGACACTTTGGGATCCTCCTACCTTTAAGTCAACAGGCTAAAAAGGGAGTTACACTGTTGGCTGGGGTGACTGACCCAGATCATCAAGATGAAATCAGTCTACTGCTCCAAAACAGAGGTAAGGAAGAGTATACATGGAATACAGGAGATCCATTAGGGCATCTCTTAGTATTACCATGCCCTGTGTTTAAGGTCAACGGGAAACTACAATAACTCAATCCAGGAAGGACTACAAATGGTCCAGACCCCTCAGGAATGAAGGTTTGGGTCACTATACCAGGAAAAAAATATGACCTGCTGAGGTGCTTGCTGAAGGCAAAGGGAATGCAGAATGGGTAGTAGAAGAAGATAGTTATCAATACCTGCTAGAACCACATGACCAGCTGCAGAAATGAGGACTGTAACTGTCATGAGTATTTCCTCCTTTTGTTAAAATCATGTTTGTAGATGTATACAGCTGTACTAAGAAAATATCTTCATTTTATTTCCTTTGACTTCATCATGTGACATAAGATTTATTGATTTCATTTCAGAATTGAAGTATTGTTAACTTTACATAATAGTATTTGAGTTGGGGGATTGGTGTGTTTCCGGTTGTACTAAAGATAGTTGTATTATGTTAGGCCTAATTATGACCTTATTATTTTCTTTATTTAAAGATTATGTATGATTTCAGGAGATGTGTATGAGATGTGTATGAGTGTCAACTTGATTGGATTGAAGGATGCAAAGTATTGATCCTGGGTGTGTCTGTGAGGGTGTTGTCAAAGGAGATTAACATTTGAGTCAGTGGGCTGGGGAAGGCAGACCCACCCTTAATCTTGTGGGCACAATGTAATCAGCTGCCAGTGAATATAAAGCAGGCAGAAAAATATGAAAAAGTGAGACTGGCCTAGCTTCCCAGCCTACATCTTTCTCCTGTGCTGGATGCTTCCTGCCCTTGAATACAGGAATCTAGGCACCCGGCTGACTTACTCTTTTAATATCTGCATGATATTCGGTTTTGTGGAAGCACAAGCCTTCTGCTGATGATATTCATAGTGGTTCTAAAGTATCGCCACCACAACTAATGGGCAGTAGGGCATTTTCAGAGTAATTATTTTAATTTTTAAGATATATGGTACTAAAATGGCTGTCATAAAAGGATAAAATTTATTTAAAAAATGATTTTCCTGTGGGACTGTTCTTCAGACACTTATTTCTCTCTGTTGATGAGCATGTTTGCTTAAATATTATTATAAGTCCTTCTGAAAACATAAATGCAAGATGCTTATTCTTTATTAACTATCATTTATGAAAGAATAATATTAGAAAACATTTCTAAGATTGAGTTCCTAAAAAAAGTTTTGTTGAGCATGGCTTAGTGTTTTGTAAATGCAACTATTTGGAATTCATATTTTTATTTTTCATGATTTATCCCACTATTTTTCTCACTTTAGAAATTATGTTAAGGCTACTATTAGAGAAGAAAAACCTGAAGAGAAGTTAGATTTTCAGGAATGAAAATGTGGAATGCTAAACAGTTTAGTAGCATTTAGTCTACATCTTTCAAATTTTAAATAGCTCTTCATATTTTATTTAACCACATGACATGTATTCAAGTTGGATGAATGTGCCAGATGCTAAATTTATACTTAACTGAAAAATTACCCAGTAGCAATTTAGAATTCAGCAGACTTCATCATATTAGTAACTTTTTATTATTTGTATGAATTAGCTCATGCTTCTCATCCTAAGTGTCATGGCTTCTCTACGATTGAGGCTCAGTCTGTAACTATTCTCTGTTTTCAATTGGTCATTTAATCAAAATTTAAGCTTTTATTCCTAATCTTTCATGGATTATTTTAGTGACTATAAATAATGCTATTTTATCTTTTCCTTTTTAAAATCATATCAATTTAAAGCACTTAGTCTTAAATTAAATTAAGGGAGACATATTTGGATTGATATAAATGGACTAGACATTTATACATGCAAATTGGCTAACTATACTTCTAACATTCATTTATTTCTGTATCTGGCCTAGAATGTGGAAAAAGATGTAGGAGTAATTATCTCAAATGTTTTAAAAAGTTGGATTATATTGGAACAGTGTCTGACAAACCTGGAGAAGACAATGCAATTGACATTGATTGACACAATCTCCACTTTGAAAATAACCAGCCAATCTGCTTAACAGAAATTACAAAGGAATACTGTTTAAATCCCATATTTTTTAAAGGACATCCAATTTTATTATTGTAAACTTTAAAAATAAATGTTCTTTTAGAAAATGGAAAACAAGCATAATAAAATATGGCAATTTCACCAGAGGAAAATTATAGTCACCAAATTTGGACATGTACTGGAACATTTTTCTGAACAAAATGAACTCTGTTAAACTTGACAAAGGTAGGGTGAGAGCACATAGACTTATTGAGGAAAGATACTAGCAAAATCGTTTGCAATATTAAAAAAACTGAATATATCAATAATAAATTTTAAAAATTTAGTCATTAAAAGGCTTATATATGGATTTCCATAAGCTTCAGACTTAATCCTCCACACACTTGAAAGTAATAATACTAAACTTCTTAGCAATAGTTTTATCTTCTGCTCCTTGCTTCTAATACTTGTTTAAAAAATTGATTTTTCAACATACTTCTGCTATTTTTAATCATCCAACAATTATAAATATTTATTATGTGCTAATTCCCAAATGCTGTATACTTGCAGCACTCAAGCTAGATTTACTTTTTGCTGTGGGGCAGTAAATGAAAAATTTCAATTCAATATTAATTGAAGTGCAACAAAATACTTGTTGATTTTTTTTTAATTTAAAAGGTGTGACTGTTCTGTCCTTCTACTAACCTCTTACTAATCAGTCTCTACCCTGATAAAAATCACATACTCTTTTTGAATTGCAGTTGCATCATGTAAAAATTTTGGAACACTAATAATCAAATGGTAGGCAGAACTGATGTTGAAAAGCATTCTTTCTTTACAAACACATTGAATTACAGAAAACGAATTACCATTTTATAGCTGTATAAAATCACATAGCTGAGTTTCAAAACAAGAAAGTCAAATCTCTAGGAGCTGGAAATAAAGTGGAAACAAGCAATGGCAAGTGGGAATTGAAACTGTGTGGCCCATTATGGTAAATGCTTTAGAGGCTAGGACTTTGATGGCAACACAAAAACAGGATTTAAAGTTACAGACCATGTACTAGAGGGGCTATTCCTCAGCTCGTTGCACAAAACCAGGAGCTGCAAACATACATCCCATTGGAAACACTCGTCCTTTTTATTCCACGGAAGGGCATAAATTATGGTCACTCGTCCTGCACCATGCATGAAAATACTACTATCAAGAAGCCTTTGACTTTTATGATACTTTTGGAACCCCTCAGTGAAAAAACTAGGTAAAATATGCTCTGTAGCTATGAATACTGTATCTCTTAACAGAGCCAACAATAAAATTGTCCCAAAGAAAATGCAGTATCTCTACAGAAGACCAATTACCATGGGGACGTGCTCTTTCACTCATGAATGAGAAACTACTGTGGGTCTTCCTCTCTTGACAAAACAACTAGAAAACAGGAAAAATAGCTGAAAAACCTATTTTCAGAAATTGTTTAACAGGAATCACAGGACTAGGATTCCTAATAGAAGGGAAGCATATAAAATGAAATCTATAGTTGCCCTTAGCTTTCTGCCTAGAATTTCTAGACTGCAGTGAAGGGAGGAGAAATACAAACAAAGCCGTATAGTCTTAATGGGTTGAAAAAACCAAGACCAGAGATCAAGAAGGTGAGGTGGCTAGAATTTGCTGCTAAGATTTCCAGAGAACAAGTTGCTATGCACAAAAAGTGCTCCAGAAATCTATATAATAAGGTCCTTGAATCTTTGGCTGAATACAAATCAGTGAACATAAAGGTAGAACTTTATTAAGTCAGGTAAAGAAAAACTACCTGGGAGAGAAAAATTAGTGGAGAACCAGAAGCTGAATAACTCACAGAACTTACACAGGGCTAGGAATTATCTGAGTTCCTACTAGCCAAAGTGGAGCGATATCACTGAATATGTAATGCAGTCAATAGAAATCCCAGAAAGGTCATGCCTTAGTAGTGGGGGCTAAGTTACCTCAGTGTAAAGGTAATTCTAGACCCACTCTAAAAAAGCTTTAGAATACGCCTGAAAAATATGCTGATCTGCAAGTAATTTAAATGCCTGCCAGAACAAAGTCCAACATTACTTAAATGAAATTCAGCACTTACCAACATAAAATTAATGTCTGACATTCAAAGAAGAATTACTAGACATTTGAAGAAAGCTGGAAAATATGATCCTTAACCAGAAGAAAAATCTGTCACTAAAAACAGACACAGAAATGAGAATGATCATGGAATTAGCAGGCAAGGCTTTAAAACTATTTTATACATGAACACACATAGAATATGAATATAAAAGTATTAAATATTCTCGATGATGTAAAGAAAAATGTAAACATAATGACAGAACCAAATAGAACTTCTAGAGATGAAACTTTTATAGGATGGAACGATCTGCAGGTTAGACATTGAAGAAGCAAAGATTAAAGATTTTGAAGACAAAATAATATAAATATTAAAAGTGAAACAAAAATGACTGAAAAGAAAAATGAACAGAGGCTCAGTGAACTATGGGAGAGCAGTCACATGCACGCACCTGCACACGTGCACACACACACACACACTTGAAGTCCCAGAAAAAGAGGGGAAAAGAAAATATGTAAACACATAGTGGACAAAAAATAACCAAAAATGATGAAAACTAAATGCCCACAGATGTAAGAAGCTCAAAGAAACTCAAGCAGGATAAATTCACAGATGCTTACAACAAAACACATTATAAATTGTCCAAAACTAGTAATAAAGAGAAAATATTAAAGACCAGAAGAAAAAATAAAAACACATTTAGTCACAGAGGAACAAAGAAAAGAATGATTGTGTGATTCTCACTAGAAACTGATCAAGCCAAGTTACACAGAAATGATATATAAGTGTGAAGGGTGGGTAAGCAGGATATAGAACTCTATATCCAGTAAAAAGATTTTTCAGAGGGAGTTGTCAAGATGGCCAAATAGGAACATATTGGGTCTGCAGCTCCCAGCATGATCGACACAGAAGACGGGTGATTTCTGCATTTCCAACTGAGGTACCTGGTTCATCTCATTGGGACTGGTTGGACAGTGGGTGCAGCCCATGGAGGGTGAGCTGAAGCAGGTCGGGGTGTTGTCTCACCCAGAAAGTGCAAAGGGTCAGAGGATTTCTCTTTCCTAGCCAAGGGAAGCCATGACAGACTACCTGGAAAAATAGGACACTCCCGCCCAAATACTGGACTTTTCCCAAGGTATTAGAAGCTGGCAGACAAGGTGATTCTCTCCTGTGCCTGGCTCGGCAGGTCCCACGCCCATGGAACCTTGCTCATTGCTAGTGCAACAGTCTGAGATCGATCTGTGAGGCGGCAGCCTGGCTGGGGGAGGGGCGTCCACTATTGCTGAGGCTCGAATAGGTAAACAAAGTGGCTGGGAAGCTCAAACTGGGCAGAGCCCACCACAGCTCAACAAGATCTACTGCCTCTAGACTCCACCTCTGTGTGCAGGGTGCAGCTGAACAAAAGGCAGCAGACAACTTCTGCAGACTTAAACATCCCTGACTGACAGCTCTGAAGAGAGCAGTGGTTCTCCCAGCACAGCATTTGAGCTCTGAGAATGGACAGACTGTCTCCTCAAGTGGGTCCCTGACCCACTTGAGACACCTCCCAGTATGGGCCAACAGACACCTCATATAGGTGGCTGCCTCTCTTGGATGAAGCTTCCAGAGGAAGGATCAGGCAGCAGTATTTGCTGTTCTGCAGCCTCCGCTGGTGATACCCAGGCAAACAGGGTCTGGAGTGCAATTCCAGTAAACTCCAACAGACCTGCAGCTGAGGGACCTGACTGTTAGAAGGAAAACTAACAAACAGAAAAGAATAGCATGAACATCAACAAAAAGTTCATCTATACCAAAACCCCACCTGTAGGTCACCAACATCAAAGACCAAAGGTAGATAAAATGACAAAGATGGGGAGAAATCAGAGCAGAAAAGCTGAAAATTCTAAAAATCAGAGTGTGTCTTCTCCTCCAATGGATCACAGCTCCTTGCCAGCAACAGAACAAAGCTGGATGGAGAATGACTTTGACGAGTTCACAGAAGTAGGCTTCAGAAGGTCTGTAATAACAAACTTCTGAGCTAAAGGAGGATGTTCGAACCCATCACAAAGAAGCTAAAAACCTTGAAAAAAGATTAGATGGATGGCTAACTAGAATAAACAGTGTAGAGAAGTCCTTAAATGACCTGATGGAGCTGAAAACCATGGCATGAGAACTTCGTGATGCATGCACAGGCTTCAATAGCCGATTTGATCAAGTGGAAGAAAGGGTATCAGTGACTGAAGATCAAATTAATGAAATACAGCGAGAAGACAAAGTTAGAGAAAAAAGAGTAAAAAGAAATGAACAAAGACTCCAAGAAATAAGGGACTGTGTGAAAAGACCAAATGTATGTTTGATTGGTGTACCTGAAAGTGACAGGGAGAATGGAATCAAGTTGGAAAACACTCTTCAGAATATTTTCCAGGAGAACTTCCCAATCTAGCAAGGCAGGCCAATATTCAAATTCAGGAAATACAGAGAACACCACAAAGATATTCCTCGAGAAGAGCAACTCCAAGACATATAATTGTCAAATTCACCAAAGTTGAAATGAAGGAAAAAGTGTTAAGGGCAGCCAGAGAGAAAGGTCGAGTTACCCCCAAAGGAAAGCCCATCAGGCTAACAGCAGATCTCTTGGCAGAAACCCTACAAGCCAGAAGAGAGTGGGGGCCAATATTCAACATTCTTAAAGAAAAGAGTTTTCAACCCAGAATTTCATATCCAGCCATTTAAGCTTCATAAATGAGGGAGAAATAAAATCCTTTACAGACAAGCAAATGCTGAGAGATTTTGTCACCACCAGTCCTGCCTTATAAGAGCTCCTGAAGGAAGCACTAAACATGGAAAGGAACAACTGGTACCAGCCACTGCAAAAACATGCCCAATTGTAAAGACCATCGATGCTATAAAGAAGCTGCATCAATTAACGGGCAAAATAACCAGTGAAAATCATAATGACAGGATCAAATTAACACATAACAATATTAACCTTAAATGTAAATGGGCTAAGTGACCCAATTAAAAGACAGACTGGCAACTTGGATGAAGAGTCAAGACCCATCAGTGTACTGTATTCAGGAGACCCATCTCACGTGCAAAGATGCACATAGGCTAAAAAAAAGGGGATGGAGGAAGATCTACCAAGCAAATGGAAAACAAAACAAACAAACAAAAAAGCAGGGGTTGCAATCCTAGTCTCTGATGAAACAGACTTTAACTCAACAAAGATCAAAAGAGACAAAGAAGGCCATTACATAATGCTAAAGGGATCAACTCAACAAGAAGAGCTAACTATCCTAAATATATATGCACCCAGATTCATAAAGGAAGTCCTTAGAGACCTACAAAGAGACTTAGACTCCCACACAATAATAATGGGAGATTTTAACACCCCACTGCCAATATTAGACAGATCAATGAGATAGAAGGTTAACAAGGATATCCAGGACCTAAACACAGCTCTGCAACAAGCAGATATAATAGACATCTACTGAACTCTTCACCCCACATCAACAGAATATACATTCTTCTGAGCACCACATCACACTTATTCTAAAATTGACCACGTGATTGGAAGTAAAGCACTCCTCAGAAAATGTGAAAGAACGGAAATCATAACAGTCTCTCAGACCACAGTGCAATCAAATTAGAACTCAGGATTAAGAAACTCACTCAAAACCGCACAACTACATAGAAACTGAACAACTTGCTCCTGGATGACTATTGGGTAAATAACGAAATTAAGGCAGAAATAAAGATGTTTTTTGAAACCAGTGAGAACAAAGACACAACATACCAGAATCTCTGGGTCACATTTAAAGTAGTGTGTAGAGGGAAATTTATATCACTAAACCCCACAAGAGAAAGCAGGAAAGATCTAAAATCTACATTCTAACATCACAATTAAAAGAACTACAGAAGCAAGAGCAAACAAATTCAAAAGCTAGCAGAAGGCAAGAAATAACTAAGATCAGAGCAGAACAGAAAGAGATAGAGACACAAAAAAACCTTCAAAAAATCAATGAATCCAGAAGCTGTTTTTTTGAAAAGATCAACAAAAATAATAGACCACTAGCAAGACTAACAAAGAAGAAAAGAGAGAAGTATCAAATAGACACAATAAAAAATGATAAGATAAAGGGGATATCACTACTGATCCTGCAGAAATACAAACTACCATCAGAGAATACTATAAACAGTTCTACGCAAATAAACTAGAAAATCTAGAAGAAATGAATAAATTCCTGCACACAGCCACTTTTCCAAGACTAAGCCAGGAAGAAGTTGAATCTCTGAATAGACCAAAAACAGGCTCTGAAATTGAGGCAATAATTAATAGCCTACCAACCAAAAAAGTGCAGGACCAGATGGATTCACAGTATGATTCTACCAGAGGTACAAAGAAGAGCTGGTACCATTCCTTCTGAAACTATTCCAATCAACAGAAAAAGAGAGAATCCTCCCTAACTCATTTTATGAGGCCAACATCATCCTGATACCAAAGCCTGGCAGAGACACAACAAAAAAAGAGAATTTTAGACCAATATCCCTGATGAACATCGATGCAAGAATCCTTCATAAAATACTGGCAAACCAAATCCAGCAGCGCATCAAAAAGTCTATCCACCACGATCAAGCAGGCTTCATCCCTGGGATGCAAGGCTGGTTCAACATATGCAAATCAATAAATGTAATCACATAAACAGAATCAACAACAAAAACACATGATTATCTCAACAGATGCAGAAAAGGCCTTCAACAAAATTCAACAGCCCTTTATGCTAAAAAATCTCAATAAACTAGCTATTGATGGAACATATCTCAAAATAGTAGAGTTATTTATGACAAACCCACAGCCAATATCATACTGAATGGGCAAAAACTGGAAGCATTCCCTTTGAAAACCAGCACAAGACAAGGATGCCCTCTCTCACCACTCCTATTCAACATAGTGTTGGAAGTTCTGGCTAGGGCAATCAGGCAAGAGAAAGAAATAAAGAGTGTTCAGTTAGGAAATGAGGAAGTCAAACTGTCTCTGCTTGCAGATGACATGATTGTATATTTAGAAAACCCCATCATCTCAGCCCAAAATCTCCTTAAGCTGATTAGCAACTTCAGCAATAGTCTCAGGATACAAAATCAATGTGCAAAAATCACAAGCATTCCTATACACCAAGAATAGACAAACAGAGAGCCAAATTATGAGTGAACTCCCATTCACAATTGCTATGAAGAGCATACAATGCCTAGAAATACAACTTACAAGGGATGTGAAGGACCGCTTCCATGAGAACTACAAACCACTGCGCAATTGAATAAGAGGACATAAACAAATGGAAGAATATTCCATGCTCATGGATAGGAAGAATCAATATCGTGAAAATGGACATACTGCCCAAAGTAATTTATAGATTCAATGCTATCCCCATCGAGCTACCAATGACTTTCTTCACAGAATTGGAAAAATCTAGTTCAAAGTTCATATGGAACCAAAAAAGAGCCCTCATTGCCAAGTCAATCCTAAGCAAAAAGAACACAGCTGGAGGCATCACAGTACCTGACTTCAAACTATACTACAAGGCTACAGTAACCAAAACAGCATGGTACTGGTACCAAAACAGATAAATAGATTAATGGAACAGAACAGAGGCCTCAGAAAGAATGCTGCACATCTACAACCATCTGATCTTTGACACATCTGACAAAAACAAGAAATAGGGAAAATATTCCCTATTTAATAAATAGTGCTGGGAAAACTGGCTAGCCATATGTAGAAAGCTGAAACTGGATCTCTTCCTTCCACGTCATACAAAAATTAATTCAAGATGTATTAAAGACTTAAATGTTAGACCTGAAACCATAAAAACTCTAGAAGAAAACCTTGGCAATACCATTCAGGACATAGGCATGGGCAAGGACTTCATGACTGAAACACCAAAAGCAATGGCAACAAAAGCCAAAATAGACGAATGGGATCTAATTAAACTAAAGATCTTCTGCATGGCAAAAGAAACTATCATCAGAGTGAACACGCAACCTACAGAATGGGAGAAAATTTTTGCAATCTACCCATCTGACAAAGGGCTAATATCCAGAATCTACAAAGAACTGAAACAAATTTACAAGAAAAAAACAAACAGCTCCATCAAAAAGTGGGCAAAGGACAGGAACAGATACTTCTCAAAAGAAGACATCTATGCAGCCATCAGACAGAGGAAAAAATGTTCATCATCACTGGTCATCAAAGTAATGCAAATCAAACACAAAATGAGATATCATCTCATGCCAGTTAGAATGGCAATCATTAAAATGTCAGGGAACAACAGATGCTGGAGAGGATGTGGAGAAATAGGAACACTTTTACACTGTTGGTGGGAGTGTAAATTAGTTCAACCATTGTGGAAGACAGTGTGGCGATTACTCAAGGATCTAGAACTAGAATTACCATTTGACACAGCAATCTCATTACTGGGTATATACCCAAAGAATTATAAATCATGTTACTATAAAGACACATGCACAGGTATGTTTATTGCGGTACTATTCACAATAGAAAAGACTTGGAACCAACCCAAATGTCCATTAATGATAGACTGGATTAAGAATAATTGGCACATATACACCATGGAATAGTATGCAGCCATAAAAAAGGATGAGCTCACGTCCTTTGCAGGGACATGGATGAAGCTGGAAACCATCATTCTCAGCAAACTATCACAAGGACAGTAAACCAAACACCGCATGTTCTCACTCATAGATGGAAATTGAACAATGAGATCACTTGGACACAGGGCAGGGGACATCACACACCAGGGTCTGTCGGAGGGCTAGGGGAGGGATAGCACTGGGAGAAATGCGTAATGTAAATGATGAGTTGATGGGTGCAGCAAACCAACATGGCATGTGTATACCTATGTATCAAATCTGCACGTTGTGCACGTGTACCCTAGAACTTAAAGTACAATTTAAAAAAAAGATTTTTCATAAAGGAAGGTGAAATAAATAAATTTTAGACAAAAATAAATATTGGAAAATTTATTGCCAGAAGAACTTCATTATAGGATATGTTCTAGTAAGTTCTTCAGTCAGAAAGAGACGGACATGATATGGAATCTTGGATCTACACAAAACTCAAGAGTACTCGGAATGGAAAACAGGTCTAAAGTAGGTCTGAAACACAATAGTGAAATGTTGTGTAGGTTTTGTAACATTTCCAGAAGTAAAATGGACATAGAGCTAAAAAGCAAAATGACAATAGCCCAAAGTACAGAAGGGACAAATGAAAATAAATTGTAAGTTTCTTATATGGGAAGCAGTATATTATTTGAAGATACACTGTAATTAATTAAAGATGGATATTGATAACAGAAAAACACTAAGAAATCATAGAGGTAGACATAATAATAAGCTAACTGTAAAAATAAAATGGAGTAATAATAAAGTACTCAATCCCCTCCAAAAAGGAAAAAAGGAATAAGAAAAAATGAGACAAATGAAAAAAGAAAAGGAAGATGGTAGATTTAAACCATATTGAGAATTGCATTAAATATAAATGCCTAAATACTTCATGAGACAAAGAACATCTCACAAGGGGAAATAGAAAAAGTTTGGGAAATGAAAATGACATTTCAGAATATAAAAATTAATGGAGCATTTCTAAAATGTTAATTTGAGGAAAATGCATGGATTTAAATGATTATATTAATAAAAAGGAATGTCAAAAAATGACTGATTTAAATTTGTATTAAGAAATGACAAAAAGGAGAGGGATATCAGACAAGGTGACAGATAGGAGACAGGGCTAATGTGCCGCTCCCACTTGGACAGAGAGAACAGCATATGGAGAATTACACTATGATTTTTTGCTCCAAGAACCATTGCAGGAATGTACCAGGAAAACCAAAATAATTCACAGGTTCTTTGAAAGAAGTGGCACAATAGTGCCAATTCTGCAAAACAGGTAAAAAACTGAGTTCCCAAAGTGTGAGGTGGGGAAACCTGCCTCCAAACACACAGCTCCCCTGGGGAATCTGAACATTCAGATCACAGGAGAAGGATTTAACCTTACCTAGAGCTGAAACAGACTTAGGGCGTCGTGTGAAATATAAAAGTATAAATAGTAATGGGAGGGGCCTGACAGGCACTCCCAGTCTCTAGCTCGAGCCCAGGGAAGCCATCCCTGACTATACTTAACAGAGGCTCTCAAGGAAGGCAGCCAGTGGAATTGGGGATGGGTCACAGGGCAAAAGAAGCTTCCAAGTGAAATTGGTAGTGTTTTCAACTGGGCACAATTTTCTTGAGTGGAATTGAGGAGATGAGCAGGAGCAGCTGCAGATGCAAGTGCAGGGTGCAGGAGCTGCCACTGATGGATTGGGCAGACAGGGAGGGGTAAGGCCTGAAAGCCATGCTTGCTTTTTCAGTAGGGAAGCTCAGGGCCTGGGGCAAAGTCTGAGCAGGGCACTGCAGGAGTAAGACTGGCCCACCGACTGTGTGGGAGCTGTGTGAGGCCTCTTGCTACTGGCTATCCCCCACTTCCCTGGCAAACTATATGATACAGCACAGGTGGCCAAGATCCCTTCTGGAACATCATCTCGTTGGCCTGAGAACCACCTTTCATCCCCCACAGTGGCCATGACAAGCCCTACCCAAGGAGAGTCTGAGCCCAGACTTGCCTAACCCTGTTTCTACCTGATAGTATTTCTCTACCTGCGTTGGTAGCCAAACACAAAAGACAGAAACTCTTGGGAGTTTTATGACCCCATCCATCACCTGAGAAACCAACGTACCTCCCCTGGACAACTTAGGGCAAGCTTAGATGCCCCTACTACTACTGCCGCTGGTACTGTCTTGAAAGCACCACCTCCTGGCTGGAGGCCAACCAACTCAAGCCATTATAGCAACTCATGACAGAGTAACCTTGATCCTAGGAAGGAGAACACAACACCTAATTCCAATGCCTGCAACATACTAGCTAACCAGAGGTCTCAAGTGTGTCTATGTGAAAACTTCACTGTTAATTTAACCAGCATTTAAGAAAGCCAGCATACTAAATGTATCTATAATCAAGGACTCTCACAGTTGACTTCATTTCCCTGCCACCTCTACTAGAGCAGGAGCTGGTATCCATGGCTGGGAGACATGAAGATGGATCACATCATAGGACTGTTTGCAGACATTCCCTAGCAACAGGCTGGAGCCTATTGGCACCTCTGGGTGGCTAGACCCAGAAGAGTGATAACAATATCTGCAGTTCAGCTCTCAGGATGCCCCATCGCTAGAGGAAGGGGGAGAACACCACATCAAAGAATCACCTCATGGGACAAGATAATCTGAACATCAGGCATTGAGTTTCAGACCTCTCCACAGAAATAGTGTACCCAATTGAGAAGCAAACAGAAAAGTAATTCTGCTAATATGACAAAACAGGGTTCTATTAGTATAACGCCCCCCAAAAGATTACACTAGCTCCCCAGCAATGGATGTGAACCAGGAAGAAATCTCAGACTTGCCAGATAAAGAATTCAGAAAGTTGATTATCAAGCTACTCAAGGAAATACCAGAGAAAGGTGAAATCAACTTAAGGAAATTTTTTAAAAATACATATTATAGGAGAAAAATTCTCCAGAGAAATAGATACCATAAAGAAAAAACAATCACAACTTCTGGACACTAAAGATAAACTTAGAGAAAGGCAAAACACACTGAAAAGTTTCAACAGTAGAATACAACAAGTAGAAGAAAGAACATCAGAGCTGGAAGAAAAGGCTTTTGAATTAACCCAATCTGACAAAGACAAAGATAAAAGAATTTTAAAAAAATGAACAATGCCTCCAAGAAATTTGAGATTATGTTAAACATCCAAACCTGAGAATAATTCATGTTCCTGAGGAGAAAGAGAATTCAAAAGTTTGGAAAACTTATTGGAGGGAATAATTGAGGAAAACTTCCCTGGCATTGCTAGAGATCTAGACATCCAAATAAAAGAAGCTCAAAAAACACCCAGGAAATTCATCACAAAAAGATAATCACCTAGGCACATAGTCATCAAGTTATCTAAAGTCTAGATGAACAAAATAATCTTAAGAGCTGTAAGACAAAAGCATCTGATAACCTCTAAAAGAAAAACCTATCAGATTAACAGCAGATTTCTCAGGAGAAACCTTATAAGCCAGAAGGAATTGGGGTCCCATCTTTACTCTCCTGAAACAAAACAATTACCAGCCAAGAACTTTGTATTTGGCAAAACTAAGCTTCATAAATGAAGGAGAGATAAAATCTTTTTCAAACAAACAAATGCTGAGAGAATTTGCCACTATCAAGCCAGCACTACAAGAAATGTTAAAAGGAGTTCTAAATCTCACTCTGTCACCCAGGCTGGAGTGCAGTGGCATGATCTCAGCTCACTGCAACCTCCGTCTCCTGGGTTCAAGTGATTCTCCTGCCTCAGCCTCCTGAGTAGCTGGGATTACAGGTGCATGGCACCATGCCCAGCTAGTTTTTGTATTTTTAGTAGAGACAGGATTTCCCCATGTTGGTCAGGCTGGTCTTGAACTCCTGACCTCAAGTGATCCACCCGCCTTGGCCTCCCAAAGTGCTTGGATTACAGATGTGAGCCACCATACCCAGCCGAGTTCTAAATCTTGAAACAAACCCTGGAAATATACCAAAATAGAACCTCCTTAAAGGATAAAGATCACAGGGCCTATAAAACAATAACACAATGAAAAAAATAACAGAAGGTATTAAGGCAACAGCTTTAGTATTGAATAGAACAATACCTCACATCTCGATACTAATGTTGAATGTAAATGGCCTAAATGCTTCACTTAAAAGATACAGAATGGATAAATATCAACCTACCAAGTATCTGCTGTCTTCAAGAGACTCACCTAAAACATAAGCACTCACATAAACTTAAGGTATAGGAGTAGAAAAAGATATTCCATGCAAATGGAAACCAAGCAAGCAGGAATAGCTATTCTTTTATTCTTATATCAAACAAAACAGACTTTAAAGCAACAACAGAAAAAAAATAAAAAATAAAAAAAGACAAAGAGGGACATTATATAATAATAAAAGGATTAGTCCAACAGGAAAATATCACAATCCTAAATGTATATGTACCTAACACTGGCACTCCCAAATTTATAAAACAATTGCTACTAGACCTAGGAAATCAGATAGATGACAACACAGTAATAGTGGGGGACTTCAGTACTCTACTGACAGCACTAGACAGGTGATCAAGACATAAAGTCAGCAAAGAAACAATGGACTTAAACTATGCCCTACAACATACGGACTTAACAGATATTTACAGAACATTCTATCCAACAACTGCAGAATATACATTCTTTTCTTCAGCACATGGAACATTCTCCAAGATAAACCATATGATAGGTCACAAAACAAGTCTCAGTAAATTTAAGAAAATCAAAATTATATCAAGTATCCTCTCAGACCATAGTGGAAAAAACCTGGAAATTAACTCCAAAAGGAACCCTTAAAACTATACAAATACATGGAAATTAAATAATTTGCTCTTGAATGATCTTTGGGTCAACAATGAAATCAAGGTGGAAATTAAAAAATTCTTTGAGTTGAACAAATAGTGATACAATGTATCAAAACCTCTGGGATACAGCAAAAGCTGTGCTAAGAGGAAAGTTTATAGCATTAAATGCCCACATCATGGAGTCTGGAACAGTGCAAACAGACAATCTTAACCTCAAGCTCACACCTCAGGGAACTATAGAAATAAGAACAAACCAAACCCAAACCCAGCAGAATAGAAGAAATAACAAAGACCAGAGCAGAACTAAATGAAATGGAAACAAATACAAAAGACAAATGAAACAAAAAGCTGTTTCTTTGGAAAGATAAGCAAAATTGATACACCAATAGTGAGATTAACCAAGAAAAGAAGAGAGAAGATCCAAGAAAACTCAATTAGAAATGAAAAGGGAGATACTACAACTGATACCACAGAAATGCAAAAGACTATTCAAGGTTGCTATAAATACTTTTACACACAAAACTAGAGAATCTAGAGGAGACGGATAAATTTCTGGAAATATACAACCCTCCTAGGTTAAATCAGGAAGAAATAGAAGCTCTGAACAGACCAATAACAAGTAGCATGACTGAAACAATAATTTAAAAATTGCCAACAAAAAATGTCCAGGACCAGATGGATTCATGGCTGAGTTCTATCCAACATTCAAAGAAGAAACGGTACCAATCTTACTGAAACTACTTCAAAAGATAGAGAACAAGGCAATCCTCCCTAAATAATTCTATGAAGTCAGTATCACGTTAATACCAAAACCAGGAAAGGACATAACAAAAAAGAAAACTACAGACCAATACCGTGATGAATATAGATCCAAAAATCCTCAAGAAAATACTAGCTAACTTAACCCAACAGCATATTAAAAAGATAATATACCATGATCAAGTGGGTTCTATACCAGGGATCAGGGAAGGATTAACAATAAATGTGATACATCAGATAAACATAATTAAAAACAAAAATCATATGATCATCTCAATAGATGCACAAAAAGCATTTGAGAAAATCTAGCACCCTTTATGATTGAAAGCCTCAGCAAAATTGGCATAGAAGGGACATAGCTCAAGATCATAAAAGCCATCTATGAAAAACCCATGGCCAATATTATATGGAATGGGGAAATGTTGAAAGCATTTGCCCTGAGAACTGGGACAAGACAAGGATACCCACTTTTGCCACTTGTATTCAACACAGTACTGGAAGTCCTAGACAGAGCATCAGACAAGAAGAAATAAAGTTCATCCAAATCAGTAAAAAGGAAGCCAAGCTGTTGCTTTTTAGTGATGATATGATCGTATACCTAGAAATCTCTACTCAATGAAAAAGCTCCCACATCTGATAAATGAATTCAGCAAAGTATCAGGATACAAAATCAATGTAAAAAAATCAGTAGCACGGCTATGCACCAACAACAACCAAGCTGAGAAAAAAATCAAGAACTCAACCCCCTTTTACAACAGCTGCAAAACAAACAAGCAAACAAAAACAACTTAGAAGAAGCCAACTGTGAAGGGGAGGGGCCGATATGGCCAAGTAGAAACAGCTCCTGTCTGCAGCTCCCAAGGAGAGGACCGTAAACAGCGAGTGAATTCTGCCTTTCTGAGATACCGGGATTCTCTCATTGGGACTGACTAGGTGGTTGGTGCAACCCACAGAGTGCAAGAAAAAGCAGGGTAGGGTGATGGTTTACTCAGGAGCTTCACGGGGCAAAGGGACCTCACTCCCGCAGTGAGGGATTGTGCTACCCACCTGGAGAACTATGCTTTTCCCACAGAGTTTTTCAACCCATGGATCAGGAGATTCCCTCATGTTCCTACACTACCAGGTCCCTGGGCCCCAAGCACAAAGCTGTGGAGATCCATGGCAGCTGCTAGGGTAGGCAGCCACTTGGGGCAGGCATTGAGCTGCATTTTTTGCATACTTTGGCAGCTCCTGGAACTCTAGTGAGGCAGGAGATCCATCCACTCCTGTGGAAAGGGGGCTGAAGCCAGGGAACCAAGCAGACTCACTTAGTGGGTCCCACTCCCACAGAACCCTGCAAGCTAAGACCCACTGGCTTGGAATCTCCACTGGCCAGCACAGCAGCCTGGAGTCGGCCCAAGATGACAGAGTTCCTGAGGGGAGGGGTGACTGCCATTACTGTGGATCTAGTCAGTAGCTTTCCCCTGCCAGTGCTAGGGAGACTGTGAGGTTTGGACTGGGCGGAATTTCCCACAGCACAGTACAGTGGCTATGGCAAATCATGGCCAGACTGCTTCTTTAAGTAGGAACCAGATCCATCTCTCCTCACTGGGTAGGGCCTCTCTGCAGGAATTCCAGCAACTCCAGTCAGAGTTTTATTAGACAGAACTCCCATCTCCCTGGGTCAGAGGACCTGGGGGGAGGGGCGGCCATGGTCTCAGATTCAGTAGACTTAATCGTTCCTGCCTGCTGGCTCTGAAGAGTCCAGACAATCTGGACGAGGGGAATTCCCCCCGCGGCAGTGAACCTACACCGTTAAGGGGCAGCCAGACTGCCTCCTTAAGTGGGTCCCTGATACTGTGCCTCCTGACTGTGTGAGATCTCCCAAGAGACGTCACCAGACACTTCATATAGGAGAGTTCTGGCTGCCATCAGGTCAGTGCCCCCCTTGGGATGAAGCTTCCAGATGAAGGAACAAGCAGCAATCTTTGCTGTTCTGCAGCCTCCACCAGTGATACCCAGGCAAACAGGGTTTGGGGTGGACCTTCAGCAAACTGCAGCAGACCTGCAGAAGAGGGGCCTGTTAAAAGAAAAGCAAACAGAAAGCAATGACAACAACAACACCAAGAAAAAAGATGCCACAAAAACCGCATCCAAAGGTCAATGCCTCAAAGATCAAAGGTAGATAAATCCACAAAGATGAGGAAAACCAGTTCAAAAACCCTGAAAATTCCAAAATCCAGAATGCCTCTTTTCCTCCAAATGATCACAACCTCTCCAGCAAGGGCGTAGAACGGGTCTAAAGCTGAGATGGATGAACTGACAGAAGCAGGCTTCAGAAAGCGAGTAATAATGAACTTCACTGAGCTAAAGGATTATGTTCTAACTCAATGCAAAGAAGCTAAGAACCATGATAAAAGATTACAGGAGCTGTTAACTAGAATAACCAGTTTAGAGAGGAACATAAATGACCTGATGGAGCTGAAAAACACAGCATGAGAACTTCATGATACAAATGCAAATACCAATAGCTGAATCAAACAAGTGGAGGAGAGAATATCAGAGCTTGAAGACTATCTTGCTGAAATAAGGCAAACAGACAAGATTAGAGAGAAAAGAATGAAAAGGAATGAACAAAAGCTATGAGAACTATGGGACTATGTAAAAAGACCAAACCTATGACTGATTGGAGTACCTGAAGGAGATCGGGAGAATGCAACCAAGTTGGAAAACACACTTCAGATATCATCCAGGAGGACTTCCCCAACCTAGCAAGACAGGCCAACATTCAAATCCAGGAAATCCAGAGAACCCCAATAAGATACTCCACAAGAACAACTCCAAGACACATAATCGTCAGATTCTCCAAGGTTGAAATGAAGGAAAAAATGTTAGGGGTAGCCAGAGAGAAAGGCAAGTTCACCCACAAAGGGAAGCCCATTAGACTAACAGTGGACCTTTCAGCAGAAACCCTACAAGCCAGAAGAGATTGGGGGCCAATATTCAACATTCTTAAAGAAAAGAATTTCTAACCCAGAATTTCATATCCAGCCAAACTAAGCTTCATAAGCGAAGGAGAAATAAAATCCTTTTCAGACAAGCAAATGCTGAGGGATTTCATCACCACCAGGCCTGCCTTGCAAGAGCTCCTGAAGGAATCACTAAACATGGAAAGGAAAAACTGTTACCAGCCACTACAAAAATACATCAAAGTACGCAGACCAATGACACTATGAAGCAACTACATTAACAAGTCTGCAAAATTAACCAGCCAGCATCATGACAGGCACAAATTAACACCTAAAAATATTAACCTTAAATTTAAATGTGCTAAATTCCACAATTAAAAGACAAAGAATGGAAAGCTGGATAAAAAGACAATACCCATCAGTGTGCTGTATTCAAGAGACACATCTGATGTGCAGACACACATAGGCTCAAAATAAAGGGATAGAGGAAAATTTACCAAGCCAATGGAAAGCAGAAAAAAGCAGGGGTTGAAATTCTAGTTTCTGACAAAATAGACTTTAAGCCAACAAAGGTCAAGAAAGACAAAGAAGGGCATTACATAATGGTAAAGGGCTGAATTCAACAAGAAGAGCTAACTATCCTAAATATATATGTACCCAATACAGGAGCATGCAGATTCATAAAACAAATTCTTAAAGACCTTCAAAGAGACTTAGACTCTCACACAATAATAGTGGGAGACTTTAACGCCCCACTGCCAATATTAGATAGATCATCAAGACAGAAAATTAACAAAGATATTCAGGACTTGAACTCAGCCTTGGATCAAGTGGACCTGAGAGATATCTACAGAACTCTCCACCCCAGAACAACGGAATATACATTTTTTTTTCTCAGTGCCACTTGACACTTACTCTAAAATGATATAATTGTAAGTAAAACACTTCTCAGCAAATGCAAAAGAACTGAAATCATAACAGTCTCTCAGATCACAGCACAATCAAATTAGAACTGAAGATTAAGAAACTGACTAAAAACCACAAAAGTACATGGAAACTGAACAACCTACTTCTGAATGACTCCTGGGTAAATTAATGAAATTAAGGCTGAAACCAAGAAGTTCTTTGAAACTAATGAGAACAAAGAGAAAATGAACCAGAACCTCTGGGATGGAGCTAAAACAGTGTTAAAAAGGGAATTTGTAGCACTAAATATTCACATCAAAAAGCTAGAAAGATCTCATATCGACATCCTAACATTACAACAAAAAGAACTAGAGAAACAAGAGAAACAAACCCCAGAGCTAGCAGAAGACAAGAAATAACCAAGCTCAAAGTGGAACTGAAGGAGACAGAGACATGAAAAAACCCTTCAAAAAAACAAAAATCGATGAATCCAGGAGCTAGTAAAAAAAAAAAGTCAATAAAATAGATCATCCACTAGCTAGACTAATAAAGAAGAAAAAAAGAGAAGATATAAAGAAACATAAGCAGAAATGATAAGGGGGAATGTCACCACTGACCCCACAGAAATACAAACAACCATCAGAGAATACTATACACATCCCTATGCATATAAACTAGAAAATCTAGAAGAAATGGATAAATTCCTGGACACATATGCCCATTTAAGACTGAACCAGGAAGAAGTTGAATCCCTGAATAGACCAATAACAAGTTCTGAAATTGAGTCAGTAATAAATAGCCCACCAACCAAAAAAAGTCCAGGACCAGATGAATTTACAGCTGAATTCTACCAATGGTACATTTATCTGAAACTATTCCAAACAACTGAAAAGGATAGACTTCTCCCTAACTCATCTTATGAGGCCAGCATCATACTGATACCAAAACTTCACAGAGATACAACAAAAAAAGAAAAGTTCAGGCCAATATCCCTGATGAACATTGATGCAAAAATCATCAATAAAATACTCACAATCCTCGAAATGGTAAAAGCTATCTATGTCAAACCTACAGCCAATATCATACTGAATGGGCAAAAGCTTGAAGCATTCCCCTTGAAAACTGGCACAAGACAAGGATGCCCTCTCTCACCACTTCTATTCAAAATAGTATTGGAAGTTCTGGCCAGGGAAATCAGGCAAGATAAAGAAATAAAGAGTATTTAAATAGGAAGAGAGGAAGTCAAATTGTCTTTGCTTGCAGATGACATGTTCCTATATCTGGAAAACCGCATCATCTCAGCTGCAAAGCTTCTTAAGCTGATAAGCAACTTCAGCAAAGTCTCAGGATACAAAATCAATGTGCAGAAATCACAAGCATTCCTATACACCAAAAACAGACAAGCAGAGAGCCAAATCATGAATTAACTCTGATTCACAATTGCCAGAAAGAGAATAAAATACCTAGGAATACAGCTAACAAGGGAAATGAAGGACATCTTCAAGAACTACAAGCCACTGATCCAAGGAAATTAGAGAAGACACAAACAGGTGAAAAAACATTCCATGCTTATAAATATGAAAATCAGTATAATGAAAATGGCCATACTCCCCAAAACAATTTATAGATTCATGCTATTCTCATTAAACTACCATTGATATTCCTCACAGAATCAGAATAAACTATTTTAAAATTCATGTGGAACCAAAACAGGAGCTCCTATAGCCAGGACAATCCTAAGCAAAAAGAACAAAGCTGGAGGCATCACGGTACCCAACTTCGAACTATACCAAAAGGTACAGTAACCAAAATAGCATAGTACTGGTACAAAAACAGGCACATAGACCAATGGAACAGAACAGAGAACTCAGAAATAAAACTGCACATCTACAACCATCTGATGTTGGACAAACCTGACAAAAACAAGCAATAGGAAAATAATTCCCTATTTAATAAATTGTGCTGGGAGAACTGGCTAGCCATATGCAAAAAATTGAAACTGGACCCCTTCCTTACACTTTATACAAAAATTAACCCAAGATATATTAAGTACTTAACTGTAAAACCCAAAACTATAAAAACCCTAGAAGAAAATCTAGGCAATACCACTCAGGACATAGGCATGAGCAAAGATTTTATGATGAAATCACCAAAAGCATTTGCAACAGGCTGGGCATGGTAGGTCATGCCTATAATCCAAGCACTTTGGGAGGCTAAGGCTGACAGATCACTTGACCTCAGGAGTCTGAGACCAGCCTGGCCAACATGGCAAAACCCTGTCTCTACTAAAAACACAAAATTAGCCAGGCATATTGATGCATGCTTGCAATTCCAGTTACTTGGGAGGCTGAGGCACGAGAATAGCTTGAACTCAGGAGGTGGAGGTTGCAGTGAGCTGAGATCATGCCACTGCACTCCAGCCTCGGTGATGGCGTTACTCTGTCTAAAAAAACCCAATAATAACAACAATAACAAAAAGCAAGCAATGGGGAAAGGATTCCGTTTAATAAATGGTGCTGGGAGAACTGGCTAGCCATATGCCGAAAATTGAAACTGACCTCTTTTTTACACTTTATACAAAAATTAACTCAAGATAGATTAAAGACTTAAATGTAAAGGCCAAAACTATAAAAACCCTAGAAGAAAATCTAGGCAATACCATTCAAGACATAGGCATGGGCAAAGATTTTATGATGAACTCGCCAAAAGCAATTGCAACAAAAGCAAAAATTGACAAATGGGATCTAATTAAACTAAAGAGCTTCTGCACAGCAAAAGAAACTATCATTAGAGGGAACAGACAATCTACAGAATGGGAGAATTTTTTTTCAATGTATCCATCGGACAAAGGTCTAATATCCAGAATCTACAGGGAACTTAAACAAATTTATAAGAAAACAAGAAACAACCCCATTAAAAAGTGTGCAAAGGACATGAACACACTTCTCAAAAAAAAGACATACATGGGGCCAACGAACATGAAAAAATGCCTAACATCACTAATCATCAGGGAAATGCAAATCAAAACCTCGTTCCAGACAGAATAGTGATTACTAAAAAGTCAAGAAGCAACAGATGCTGTCAAGGCTGTGGAGAAATAGGAATTCTTCTACATTGTTTGTGGGAGTGTAAATTAGTTCAACCACTGTGGAAGACAGTGCGGTGATTCCTCAAAAATCCAGAGTCAAAGATAACATTTGACCCAGCAATCCCATTACTGGGTATGTACCCAAAGGAATAAAACAATTCTGTTATAAATATGCATGCATGCATTATGTTTATTGCAGCACCATTCGCAATAGCAAAGACATGGACTCAACCTAAATGCCCATCACTGATAGACTGGATAAAGAAAATTTGGTACATATACACCATGAAATACTATGCAGCCATAAAAGGAAATGAGATCATGTTCTTTGCAGGGACATGGATGAAGTTGGAAGCCATTATCCTCAGCAAACTAACGCAGGAACAGAATACCAAACATGGCATGGTCTCACTTATAAGTAAGAGCTGAACAATGAGAACACATGGACACAGGGAAGGAAACAACACACACTGGGACCTGTTGGAAGAGGACAGGGGGTAGGGAGAGCATCAATAAAAATAGCTAATGCATGCCACACTTAATACCTAGGTGATGGGTTGATAGGTGCAGCAAACCACCATGGCACACGTTTACCTATGTAACAAACCTGAACATCCTGCACATATACCCTGGAACTTAAAAATTAAAAAAACCCCAAAACCAAAAAAACCTTAGGAATATACCTAGCTAAGGAGGTGAAAGATCTCTCTAAGGAAAACTACACAGCACTGCTGAAAGAAATCATTGACAACACAAACAAATGCTCATGGATGGGTAGAATCAATATTGTGAAAATAACTATACTGCCAAGAACAAGATTCAATGCAATTCCCATCAAAGTACCATTATCATTCTTCACATCACTAGAAAAAACAATCCTAAAATTCATATGGAACCAAAACTGAGCTTGCGTAGTGAAAGCAAGACTAAGCAAAAAGAACAAATCTGGAGGCATCACATTACCTGATTTCAAACTATACTACAAGGGTATCGTCACCCAAACAGCATGGTACTGGTATAAAAATAGCCATGTAGACCAATGGAACAGAATAGAGAACCAAGAAATAAAGCCAAGTGTTTATAGTCAACTGATCCTCAACAAAGCAAACAAAACATAAGTATGGAAAGGACACCCTACTCAACAAAAGGTGCTAGGATAATTGGCAAGCCACATGTAGAAGAATGAAACTGGATCCTCATCTCTTACCTTATACAAAAATCAACTCAAGATGGATCAAATACTTAAATACAAGACCCGAATCCATAAAAATTCTGGGAGATAATATCATAAAAACTCTTCTAGACATTGGCTTAGGCAAAAAATTCATGACCTAGAATGCAAAAGCGAATGCAACAAAAACAAAAATAAACATATGGGACCTAATTAAACTATAAAGCTCCTGTACAGCGAAAGAAACAATCTGCAGAGTACATGGACAACCCACAGAATGAGAGAAAATATTAGCAAACTATGCATTTGATGAAGGACTAATATCTAGAATCTACAAGGAACTCAAACAAATCAGCAAGAAAAAAACAAATAATCCCATCAAAAATTGGGTTAAAGACATGAATAGACAATTCTCAAAAGAATATATATAAGTGGCCAACAAATATGAAAAAATGCTCATTATCACTAATTATCAGGGAAATACAAACTAAAACCACAATGAGATACCACTTTACTCCTGCAAGAATGGTCATGATTAAAAAAAAAAAATAGATGTTGGTGTGGAGGGAACACATCCCATGCTCATGTATGGGTAGAATCCATATTGTGAAAATAACTTTTACACTGCTGGTGGGAATGTAAACTAGTATAACCACTATGGAAAACAGTATGTTGATTCCTTAAAGAACTAAAAGTAGAACTACCATTTGACTCATCAATTCCAGTGTTAGCAGTGTCAAATCTGTATGGATCTGCAGCAACCTCAGTTCTTGCCTCCTCAGAAGAAAGAATTTGACTGAGCAGCATAAGGCAGAAGGAGAGACTGATGCAAGTTTTAGAGCACGAGCAAAAGTTTATTAAAAAGCTTTAGAGCAGGAACAAAAGGAAAGAAAGTATACTTGGAAGAGGGCCAAAAAAGTGACTAGAAAGACAAGTGCACGGTTTGACTTTTTGACTTAGGGTTTTATATGTTGGCATACTTCCAGGGTCTTCTGTTTCTTTTTCCCTGATTCTTCCCTTGGGGCGGGCTGCCCGCATGTGCAGTGGCCTGCTAGCACTTGAGAGGTGAGCATGTGCAGCGTGTTTACTGGAGTCGAATGCATGCTCACTTGAGGTGTTCTTCCCTTATTGGTGGAATGTCTCTGAGTCATATACAGTAAACTCCACCATTTTGCCTCTTATTGCACATGCTCAAGCCCACTCACCCAACTCCTGAGATCTTATTGGAGAGCTGCTCATCACCAGTTTCAGGTTTTTTCTATCTATAGGGAGACTGCCTTTTCCTGGTGCTGGCTGTGACCAATTATTTTCGAGAGATGGTTAACAACTGCCTGACCATCACCTGATTGTCACTTGACGTTCCTGGTGGGGTTTGGGGGAGCCCTCTCCTGCCATGCTCATGCCTGTCCCTAGCTACCTACTATAATGCCACTACTGGGTATCTACCTAGAGGAAAGAAGTTATTATATGAAAACGACACTTGCAGATGCATGTTTATAGCAGCACAATTTGCAATTGCACAAATATGGAACCAGCCTAAATGCCCATCAACCAATGAGTAGATAAAGAAAATGTGGTATATATACAATATAGAATACTACTCAGCCATGAAAAGGAACAAAATAATGTCATTTGCAGCAATCTGGATGGAGTTGGAGACCATTATTCTAAGTGAGGTAACTCAGGAATGGAAACCCAAATATCATGTGTTCTCACTTATAAGTGGGAGCTAAGCTATATGAATGCAAAGGCATAATAATGGTATAATGGACTTTAGGGACTCAAAAGGAAGGTTGGGAGGAGGGTGAGGGATAAAAGACCGTACATTATGTATAGTTTACACTGCTCAGGTGACAGGTGCACCAAAATATCAGAAATTACCACTAAAGAACTTATCTATGTAACCAAAAACCACCTGTTTTCCAAAAAAAAAAAAAACTACTGAAATAAAAAAAAACTACTGAAATAAAAAAAAACTACTGAAATAAAAAAAAAAAAAAAAGATGTCGACATCTGCCACTGACTCTACTGCCAGATTTCTGTGAATAGATAATGTTTCTGTTACAACTGAGTCAAATCCCTCCCTATTTAATAGTATGGCGGGTTGAATTGTGTCCATGAAAGACATGTTGAAGTCCTAACTTATGGTACTTCTGAATGTAGGTCTGCAAATAGGGTCTTTGCAGATGTTATCAACTCAAGATGAGGTTATCTGGATTAGGATGTCACCCAAAGACTGGGATCTTTATCAGAGAAAGGAGAAAGATATTTGAAAACAGAGACAGGGAGACATACAGAAGGAAGAGAGCTATGTGACCACCAAGGCAGAGATTGGAGTGACTGCAGGAGTCATCAGAAATTAGATGTCAAAGAAAAATGCTTCTTTAGAACCTTCAGAGGGAGTGCAACACTGCTGACACCTTTATTTTGGACTTATAGCCTCCAAAACTGTGAGATCATAAATTTCTGTTGTCCTAAAAAATATTTAAAAGAAATCACAAAACAAAAATCAAATTAACTCAAAAGTAAGAAGAAACAATAAAAATAAAGGAATGAATCAATGAAATTAACAGCAGCAAAATATTAGAGAAAATTAATGAAGCCAAAACTTGGTTTCTGGACAAATAAGTGAAATTGGTAAGTCTTTACCTATATTTATCAAGAAAAAAACCTGAAAGGAACTCAATTGCCAATATCAGGAATTTTACCCCAAGATGGTGGATTAAAGGCTTTTAGCATACCTTGTCTACTTGGAAATAGCAAAATCGTGCATCTAAATTAACACTGTGAGGATTTATTCAAGAAGAAATATTAAGAATTCACCAAAAAAGTGAAGGATACTTCAGACACTTGGGAAAGAGAAGGTAGGCAAGCAGCCTGTGTGGCAGTGTTTGGCTGAGGAAAGTGTGTGAAGCCCCGATATGTGAGAGGGGGAGTTTTCTTCTGTCACTCACCTTTCCACTGGCTGTTTATGTAACCCAGGCTATGGGAGAGCAACTTGTTTCTCCCAAACCCTGAAGCTAACTTGGGGAGAGTCTGGGAGACTGAGAGAGAAAAAGGACACTGGAAAAAGCTGCAGGCATTTCCCAGACCTAGGGCTGAGAGGAAGATTCTGTTTTCAATCTGGGCTCATACTAAGTCAGTCATTATTTGATAAGCTGGCAGTGGTGGCTGCTGCAGGCATTTTAGTCTCTGGCCAGAGATTGGAGTACTTGGTTTGCAGAAGGAGACCAGAATGAGTATGGGGTGTGCTCCAGCCATTGCAGCTGGAACTGGGCTCTCTCACATCACAGGACGGAAGTGGGAGGAGACTTGCTGAAGCTGCAGTTTCTCCCAGGCAGTGAGATTTGCAGCCAGAAACAGCTTTGTGACCTGGGACTAGTCTGTGTGTGACATTGTTGGGTGCCCCAGCCTGCTGCCTTAGTCACCTTAGTCAGTTGAGGGAGTGAGCCCTACCGGTTCTGAGGAGAGGGAGGGAGGTGGTTCCCTCTCCACAGACTGGATTGGGAACATGGGCCACCCCTCCCTTCCTGTGCAGAGGTGGCTTCTCTACTCCTTGCCTGGTTATATCTCCAGGCATTTTTGCCTCCAGGCATTTGGTGTACCTGCTCCCACCCCTGCAGGGTTACTTGCCCTCTCTCCAGACTTGAGCTGAGACTGGTCCCACCCATCGTGGGACTCTGTCCTGCCCGGGCAGTCTTAGGCTTTCTATTTTTGCATCACTCAATCCTGAACAGACATTCACCAGAATGTGCTCAGACTGTGCTCAATTCTGACAACCACAAAAGGCTGACAGGATTCAGGGGAGCTGCAGAATTCCTGGAGGTCTAACAATTAAAGCAGATTGTCCCTGGGGGAGGAAGAGTACAGCACAACAAAGCACCCCTTGGGACAAAGGAGATTAGGGTGGCACTCTCCTGTGCTCTAAAGCTACTTGCTTGGGAGCTGAAAGTGATTTCATACCTCCCAGCACAGATGCAGGTGCAGCTCTGGGCTCTGTATGGGAGGATCATGGTTTTATCTCAGTGGCCAGGTGGCACCCGTGCTCAGAAACAGATATAAGAGGGGGACTTCTCCTCCCAGCTTCCCCCACCCACTGCTGCACACATAGCCTTGGCTATTCTCTCTTTTTTCTTTTCTTTTCTTTTCTTTTCTTTTCTTTTCTCTCTCTCTCTCTCTCTCTCTCTCTCTCTCTCTCTCTCTCTCTCTTTCCTTTTCTTTTCTTTTCTTTTTCTTTTCTTTCTTTCTTTTTTGAGACGGAGTCTCGCTCTGTCGCCCAGGCTGGAGTGCAGTGGCGCGATCTCGGCTCACTACAACCTCCGCCTCCCGGGTTAACGCCATTCTCCTGCCTCAGCCTCTCCGAGTAGCTGGGACTACAGGCGCCCGCCACCACGCTCGGCTAATTTTTTGTATTTTTAGTAGAGACGGGGATTCACCGTGGTCTCGATCTCCTGACCTCGTGATCCACCCGCCTCGGCCTCCCAAAGTGCTGGAATTACAAGCATGAGCCACCGCGCCCGGCAGCCTTGGCTATTCTTATGGGAGGTTGGTACAGTTGCACCTGTGGATGGCCATTCCAAGGCTATAATGGGCACTGCAACCCCATGGGTGGTGTGCCCACTGGGCTGGGCTTACAGAGTGGGCAGGGCCCTTCTCCCTCTCTACATGGAGCGGCTGCAGGAATGCTAATCAGACGAGCTGCAAAGCTATCTATGTTGCGCTGAGGGAAAAGGTCTTTCCTGAGGCCAATCTGTTGGAAAGCAACGGTACAGGTATTTTCCGTGACCCTCAGCTGCATGGCAGCCTCGAGATCAATGACAGTGTCCATCTGAACTGAAAGTGACAAGCCCCAGGATAGAGGTGGGGCTGGTACAGCAAGGTGACCCTCATCCCACACCCCCCACCACACACACTGTGGACCTAGATCTACTCATCTTTGTCCCCCATTCCTGGGCCTGCATGGAACTCAGGGAACTGGGCATTTCACAGACCAAACCACTGCCTGAGACAACAGAGAGTCTCTTCCAGTAAAGAAAGATCAAGCACATACCCATCAGTTTCTGCTGCAAGTGGGATAACTGGCTAGCCATAGGCAGAAGATTGAAACTGGACCCCTTTCTTACATCATATACAAAAATTAACTCAAGAAGGATTAAAGATTTAAATGTAAAACCCAAAATCTATAAAAAGCCTGGATGACCACGTATGCAATACCATTCAGGACATAGGCATGGGCAATGATTTCATGACAAAGACGCCAAAAGCAATTGCAACAAAAGCAAACACTGACAAACGGGATCTAATTAAACTAAAGAGCTTCTGCAATGCAAAAGAAACTATCAACAGAGTAAACAGACAACCTACAGAATGGGAGAAAATTTTTGCAAACTATGCATCTGACAAAGGCCTAATATCCAGCATCTATAAGGAACTTAAACACATTTACAAGAGAAAAACCAAACAATCCCATTAAAAAGTGGGCAAATGACATGAACAGACACTTCTCAAAAGAAGACATACATGCTGCCAAAAATCATACGAGAAAAAGCTCAACATCACTGATCATTAGGGAAATGCAAATCAACACCACAATGAGATAGCCACTGACTGGTGTGAGATGGTATTACTAAAAAGTCAAAAAGTAACAGATGCTGGTGAGGTTGCAGAGAAAAAGGAAGCTTACACACTGTTGGTGGGAGCGTAAATTAGTTCAACCATTGTGGAAGACCGTGTGGTGATTCCTCAAAGACCTAAAGACAGAAATACCATTTGACCCAGCAATCCCATTATCAATGGTTTTGTAGGGTGGGATAACTGACAGCAAGAGATTAAGAAAAAAACTTTTTTTGGGTACCGAAAATGTTCTACATACTAGTTGTCTGGTACTTTTTCCTTTATATAAATTATATCTCAATAGTATTGATTATGGAAAATTTAAAAATATAATTACTGCAGAAGATGTGTTCACAGAAAAAAGGTTGCAAAGACTCAAATAAGTCAAATGCCATGAAAGACAGCCAGTAGATGTAAGATGTAGAGTAAATCACACACAATCTCAAACAAACTAGGGATTTGGATGGGGTATATGTCATAATTCTGTGGAGTAGAGACTTAAAATTCATTTCTTAAATCTATCAAATTGTCAGCTTTATTTGAGCAAACATGTGTATTTTAGTGGCTTTTGGAACATATGCTGCCTTGAAAAATAAATCTGCTTATGAAACAGAATATAACATGAGGCTACTTCAAGCATAACTAATAATATGTTTATGTGCCCTCCATGCATGTTGGAAAGCTAGGTGTACAACCACTTCATGAACAAATACTGAGGGACATTTTAATGTGTAACATGCCCTAATAAGTAGTTTGGAATAGTAAAAAATTAGTTGACTTAGCTCTTAAGCAGTGTTTAAGGTTAGTTAAAAACACCAAAATAAAAAAAATACCAAAGATATATTTTGTGTGCAGAATGCATGGGATGCACATGTGACAAAAGTTGTAGAAGTTCAGGAAAAGGGAGATCACTAGATGACTGTTTCCCAGAGTGTGAGACATGCACACTGGTAGTTCTCTGGATGAATTTATTTATATAATTCTTTTTAAGAAACATAGTCTTGCTCTGTCACCCAGGCTAGAGTGTAGTGGCATGATCATAGCTCACTGCAGACTTGGACTCCTGGGCTAAAGTGATCCTCTTGCCTTAGCCTCCAGAGTAGCTGGGAGGACAGGCATGAACCACCACGCGCTGCTAATTTTTAATTTTCTTTTTAGGTGGGGAGGGGCATCTCAATATGTTGCCCAATGCTGGTTTCAAACTCCTGGCCTCAAGTGATTATCCCATCTTGGCCTCCAAAACTGCTGGGATTACAGGCATGAGCCACCATGCCCAGCTCCCCTGGATGATTTTAGTTGTTTCAACAAATAAGTTTCAAACCAAGGAAATAATTCCCTTGGTCAATTCTCTTCTAATTCCCTGAAAATATGCCAAGGAAAAAGTCCAAATTTGAT
The DNA here is from genome assembly GCF_000001405.40 of Homo sapiens. NCBI lineage: Eukaryota > Metazoa > Chordata > Mammalia > Primates > Hominidae > Homo > Homo sapiens. The sequence continues at coordinate 87,016,631 of NC_000005.10, read as the reverse complement.
GCAATCACACCTTTAACGCATCCTTAATATTTTTTAACTTTTTCCTTCTTCTTTCTCTTTTTACAGTGAAAAAGCAGAATTAGGATCATGGCCTTTAGTAGGATGTAGTTTGTAGCAAGAATTTAAGAAAAAATAGTTTGCATCTTATTCTCTTTAGAGTTATTTTTTTGTTTTTTTATCAAATAATTGTTTTTGAGTCACTGTGTTTGTGTCTCATGTACAAACCTTCTACTATGTTCTGCTTCTTCCTCCTTTATATTATTTCAAAAATCTGTGAGGCCACAAACCAAAGCAGAATTATATAAGAACAACAAAACCAAAGCCAAAACTGTGTCAGCAACTTTTTATAAAAGAAAAACATTATTTGCAGGATTTAAAATCTATAACTTTATCATTCTCCAAGTTTTATACTGCTTTTATAAAAATGAAGCAAAATGGAACACACACACAAACACAATGCTTCAACAAAACAAAAACTCTTCCAACTTCTGCTTTAAAAATACTGACTATACTGGTTTGAGTCTGACTCATTGCTGATATTTTAAATTTAGGAAGTTGAACTTCTTTTGAAATAGTAGGAAAAGGTCAGTTTTTATCTTTGGCAGATTCTGATGTCACTAGGGTTAAATGTCTAAAATTCAAGTATCCATATTAAAGTTATCCAAATCGTAAGAAAAAGAACTAAATAGAACAAATAGAGTTAATAAATAATATTAAAAGCCACACATTACTAAAACCTTGGCTACCTATTGAAAATAAATTACTTTTCAAAATGACCTGTAATTTTTAATATGAATGGCTCATTCTAATGGTGATATTTATTTCACTTTTCTTTTTATTCCAAGAAACTAGTTTTCAAAACCTAATATACTGTTATATACTTAATGATGCCTCATAAATATCTTTGGCAAAGAAGTGAGATAGTTTCAGAAATTGATAAAGAGTTTTAGGAAATGTAGCTTGGCGCACAAGATAAAGCTTTACACTTGTCTCTGAATTTATCTTAGTAGCATTTTTCAAACAAGTCATCCATACAATATTTATCAATACTGTGTTCTATGATATGTATGCCTAACTAGAAACTTTGAGAAATTTCCTCCATTATGTAGTTTAGCTTTCACTTACTATATAAATTTGAGAAAGAAGGTTCTGATTTGGTAACTTACATTATTAAAAACTTATTTTAATTCCTTGGAAAGATCTTGCCCCTTCTGTTCTATTCTATGAAAAGTTGTGGGTGGCGTGTGGATTTCTTTCTCTGCTTTACTCAGCACAATCTTACTTTTCTAATATTTTCTGATGTTTATCTCAATCATTGTCCCGGAGAGATTCTCCCCTTTCTGCCACCTGCACCTAACAGGGGAATTTTTCCGAAGAACTTTTTTTTGTGGATTTATCTGCATCCATGGGGTACAGATTTTGTCATAATAAGTTTCAAGAAGAGAAGTAACTCTTATAACTCTAATGACTTTTAGTCTAAAATGAAAGTCTAATAAGAAAGTATTTTAATACACAAAATTATTTTAGCTCATTTTAGAACAGTCATTGTTATGTTGCCATATATAATATTGTGCTCACAAATCAGGCATGGTGGCTCATGCGTGTGATACCAGCACTTTGGAGGCCAAGGCAAGAGTATTACTTGAGCCCAGAAGTTCAAGGCTTTGGTGAGCTGTGATCATGCTACTGCATTCCAGCCTAGGTGACACAGTGAGACCCTGTCTTTAAAATAAATAAATATATATATAAAATATATATACACATATATACACACACATAGATGTATATATGTATATATATGTATATATGTATAAATATGTATACACACACAAAGACAGAGAGTGTGTATGCTTAAACTTAGTCAAGAAATAAGATTGAATATTAAAGAATATTGAATAGGCAGGAAAAATAATGCTAAACTCAGTCACAATATCCATTTCTAACTCTTGGGACTTGCAGTAGTCGTTAGGACAACTTTCTCCCTGCCCAAAGAATTTCAGTAACAACTGAGTTGATTTATTATGTAAGAGCTAAACTGTTTGAGACAGAAGCACTAGCTGATATTACATGAGAGGTCTGAAAATAAGGAAAACAGCAAAACTTGCTGAGGGAAAATACTACATAGTAATTGATAGGATTTCAATGTTTATTCACTTGTGGGGGGTAATTTTGTCACAGAGAAAAACATGCTCTTTAGGTTAAAAAACTATTTGAAATCAGTTTTACTTTATCTTTCATGATATTGAGTTTCTTTAAAGACTTCTTTCATTAGTTTAAGCCTTCTGTACCTTTTTTCTTGACATGAGTCTCAGTGTAAAGACTACATATTTAATTAAGCATGGTAATCTCCAGGAATCCTTTCATTGAAGAGTTGAGAAGATTGTCATATTTTATCAAGATAAAATTGATATTTTAAATTTAAATAAAATTTACGATTTCATGTTTTTACATACTATATAAAATATTAAACTAAAATATTACTTTTGTTATTTCAAACTTCTTACCGTATTTTTTCACATTGTTCAGAAAGTTGTGTCATGCTTATCCATCGATATTGTTCTTTTTTTGTATTTAGATGAGATATAGTTAATTTCACTGAGTAGGGACGAATAAACTGAAGAACTTATAGAAGTTAGAGAATCACTTTTTGATTACCAATGAGGACAAATTCAGACAAAATTTCTTTAAATAGTTGAATGACAGAGTTGGATAGAGTATAAGAAAGAATGCTTACCAGTAAGAATTTTCAAAATAAAAATGGTAAGTTTTGCTTTATCTTTCCAGGAGGTATTTAAAGTTGTTTTTCTCCTTGAAGGTGAGAATAAACATTATATACCCCTCTAGGTTTCTATCTAGTTTGCCTGTTAATTTCCTTGTAATTTAAGATCCTACTGAAACTGGAAATACAAAGAAGGAAAGACATAAGTCGAATTAACATTAATCATACTTTAAAGCACAATTGTTGAACAAAGATATAATTATATTTTAAAGCTCAAAGTATTTTTATATAGTCTTTATGCACCAAATTGAAACCTATATTTAAAAAAACTAGTTTATGTTTTTGACAATTATGTTTTAAATTTTTGTTTTTTTAGTGACTTATTTTTAGCTTTAAAGGAAAACTCTTTTACATGAAGATAAGTAAAACTGTTATAAAATGTTTGTATATTAAAAACTAGAGAGTAAAAAAGTATTTATTTATATAAAAGTCATTTAGTTAATATTTATGCTTTGTAATAAATAGTGCCCATAAGTTTTTCGGTAATGTTACATTGTAAGAAAAATAATTTTTATTATTCTGTATTATTATGCAATGTTCAATTGTATAATAAATCCTGAAATTCATTTTAGAATGAAACACCACACGGTGGCAGTGTTTACTAAGAAATTGCTGAAGTATGGGGTCATCACAGGGTTGAAAGTCCTTTATGCTGCTGTACCCTTTTGTGTCTGTAAAATTGGCCATCTATTTCAACTGTTAAAAATGAATACTAGGCCGGGCGCGGTGGCTCACGCCTGTAATCCCAGCACTTTGGGAGGCCGAGGCGGGAGGATCACAAGGTCAGGAGATCGAGACCACCCTGGCTAACACGGTGAAACCCCGTCTCTACTAAAAACACAAAAAAATTAGCCGGGCGTGGTGGCGGGCGCCTGTAGTCCCAGCTACTCGGGAGGCTGAGGCAGGAGAGTGGTGTGAACCCGGGAGGCGGAGCTTGCAGTGAGCCAAGATCGCGCCACTGCAGTCTGGGCGACAGAGCGAGACTCCGTCTCAAAAAAAAAAAAAAAAAAAAAGAAGAATACTAGATTCGTAAGGGTGGAAATGGTAGATACTTTTTTATTTATAAAATGTTTTATGTATTCAAAGCCTAGTGTGGTACCTTTCATAACAGCGAAAAAAAAGACAATATTGGATTTAGTTTGCTGATTCGTATTTTGTACATGTGCTTACAGATTAAAAAAACACCAGAAGAAAGTGCAGAATAAGTATTAGCTAGAGGTTAGAATTTGCCACCAAGGTGTATTTTAAATATTCAGAACAGTGGTTAGGTGAACAGCAGTGGGATGAACAGCCCAATGAGTATTTTGAAATGGGAAGCCATTTAAGCATAAATATAGTGGACTAATATCCACAAGCCACTGAAAGCGGAAGGACGAGACTGAGGAAATGCTGACACAGAACCTCTCTCCTCCTTTCTTGACTATTACACTCCCATCTTTGCCAAAAATCCATCACTGAATATTTCCTTGCCTGTTGAAATAATGAGTTCAACTGTTGAGACCTTAAAATGCACCTATATTTGGAAACATTTTCTTCATTTTTCACTTGGCTCTGTAGTAGGATAGCTTGTACACCTATCCTGCACAAAGCTGTGACTAAGTTGCTACTAGGTTTTATGATCTTAAGACTCTTCAAATAATGCAAATAATGCCCTTCTGCATTTATGTCATTTGTCCATTTAATTAATCCGTAAAACCAGTTATGAAGTGCTAGATTTGTTTAAAAAAAAAAAAAGGTAATTTTTACAAGCAATATAAAATGATTTCTGTGTGAAGGAATTAAATGTGAATGCCCTGGTGCTACTACACAAACTCCAACAGGTCAGGGATCTTAATTTGTTGAGCTCGCTGATGTATCCAAGCACCTACAAGGTGTTTGATGGAAGCAGGTGCTCAGTGAATATTATGAGTAAATGAAACAAATAAATCTGTGAACTTGTAGCAAAGTAACCAAATCACAAAGCTTTTTTTTGGATGAGGAATATAATGAAAGATAGCATGACATTGAAATAGGAGCTAGAAGAATGAATAAATAATTCACTTCATTTCTAAAATATAATTCCAATTTCTGGGTCTTCAGTAAATAGAAAATAAAAATTGTTTATAAAATTTTAAAGTCACATAGAGTAGGAGTTAACTGGAAATTGTAATTTAATAATCATCATATGTAAAATAAAGATATTGATCATAATCTCTATGAAGTTACATTATAAGAAGGATACAATTATTTTGAAGATTTTTTTTTGCACAAAGAAATAAAGAACAGTACAAGGTTATGGGTAGGAAAGAAGAGTCAGTGAATTTCAAACATTAATATTAATATGACCTGAATTGTGCCTTCTGGCTGTTAGAGCTTAAGGACTTTAATGCCCTTACTTCGATGTTGTTGGAATGATGCCAGTGATAAATGCTGGCATAATACTTACGGGCTAACTAATGAAATGTATTGACTGACTTAACTTCAATTATTTACCTTTTATTATGTATTCAATTTTGGTTGCTGTTCAGTTAGGCAGCTGTTTATTTTTATTATTTTTCTCTTTGATGATAAAATCCTCTCAATAATGAGCCCATCTCACTTGGATGGATATATGGAAGCTTTTTCCAAGTGGGTGGGGACAAAAAATTATAGTTTTCAGTCTCTGGCATGATAGTTATAGGTGGGAAGCAGGCACACGCTTCTTCCTGTTTGCTTTCCCATCCGTTTCTTTCTTTGTCCATTGGTCTCTGTTGACCTCTTGTTCTCATCCAACTATATAAGCTGGCTTCTCCCTTCTTCCTTAGAGATGATCGATTCCAAGGCAGCCTCATTTGAACAATAGCCTTTGCATCTTAATGGTAGGAACTCCAAAAACAAAAGGAATAAAATTCTTGTGAGACATATTGCTTAAGAGCACAGATTCGAGCTGACTTTCTGGACTGGAAATCCAACTCTACCACTGCCAGATGTGTAATTTTAGGCAAATTACTCAACCTCTTTGTGCCTTGGTTTTCTCATGTGTAAAATAGTAGCTAACTGGTGGCAGAATTGAATGAATTGTATAGGTAAAGCGTCTAGAATAGTGCCTGGTGCATAGCTAGCATTATTTGACTGTTGGCTCTCTTTGGGGCAGGATTTTTAGCAACATTGTGTAGGAGAGGTTGTAAGGACCTTAGAGTTTCCTAACATTTGTGACTTTAAATCACTAATAAGGTACTTGCTTTATCTGAGAATATGGCCTCAGGACTATACAAGTATTTGAAAGAATTTTTTTTTCCACAAAGAAATGAGAAACAGTATAAAGTCATTGTAGGAATGAAGAATCAGTGACTTTTGAACACTAATATTAATATAACCTGAGTTGTGCCTTCGGGCTGTTGGAGCTAGAGGATTTTGATGCTCTGACTCAGGTATCATTTGAATGATGCCAGTAATAAATTCTGGGATAATACTTAGGGGTTAACTATGCAACTGTAACTTGGGTTGGGTTATTATTACCTGCTCTTTCTGGTTTTGAAAGAGTTTAAGAGGCAACAGGTGTTTGGCCAGAACACTTCCTTTAATTCACAGAAATGAATGCTCTAAAAGTGTTTAAAGCTTTATTATACTGAAGCAATTTCTAATATTAAGAAATTAATCATATATTACTCCTCAAAATATTTTTTCAATAAGCAGTCACAAGATTTGCTATAGATAGATATATATTCACATATGTTTCTGATACTTAAACATAATGCTACAACTTCTCTAGAACATACTGGTGATCAAATGTGAATTTTTCTTTTAGGAGAAAAATTGATGCTTAATCTTATTATTCTTATTTGCATTTTTTCTATGTTAAAAAATTTAACTATTTTTAGTTGACATTAACTTGGCCTCTCTGCAAAATATGTTCTGTATTATTAAGATAATTTTATGTCCATTTGTTTATATTTATAGTTGCTAAATCTGTAACTTTCTAGTGCTTTTTTTTTTTTTTTTTTTTTTTTTTTGCAAAAGAAAGAGGGTCATGATGCAGGATCTGGGTGAAATTAGAGCAATAATATTCATGGAGAATGTGAAATAGTAGAAAAACAGAACAAAGACTTATGCTTAGCTATATCCTGGTGGCAAACTAAAGCACGGAGACTGTGTCCTAAGTCATAGCCAATCTTGTTCTCAGGACTAGTTACATGATTTCTGGGGCCCAGTTCAAAATAAAAGTGTAGGGCCCCTTGTTATAGAGTTACTAAGCGTTTCAAGATGGCAATGTCAGAGCATTAAGCTCAGCACAGAACAAACATCCACGAAGATGGCCCTTGTCCTTATATTGTGCCTGGAAAGTGTGGTAGGCTTTGAATTGCTCTTCCTTGCTCCTTCCTCTCAGAGAACAAATATCTTCAAAAATAAATGGGGTTTCTTTAAACTAAATATCTATTGTATGATGTCCAACTGCTGAGTTCTTGGCAGACACTGAGAACCTAATCTGTGATTACTTCCTTCGTGGTTTTAAAGTATGTTCTTAATACCAAATAGATGGTGTTTATTTATAGTTGAGTAGATTCAGACAATACTCCAAATATTAAGTGTCTGCCATTCAAAAGGGCTTGGGAAAACTAGGAGTTTATTATTTCCTTAACTAAATCATTCTCTTCTGTGAATCAGTAAAATGTTGTAGACTACTTACACTTTCATGAAAACATAAACAGTATGGCTAATACTCCAAATCACGAGGCGACCTGTTTTGATTGCTCACAGTTTTATCTGTGCTCTTCATGCCATAGACCAGGCTGTTGGCCATACATGGAGAAGCATATATAAAACTCAAAGTGCTATCTATTTTGGAATTCTTTTAGTGCTATTTTTCCCCATAGGAAACACACTTTCTTTCTTCTTTGCCAAATAGGGAGTATGCTATATCCAGTTGCTTTTTTTGTAGCAACATATTGAGCTCATGAACTTTGGAATCATTTCATTAATGTAGGCTGAATGTTACTGGAACTGAAATACGTTAAAGACAGGAAACGTTGTGTTATATTTTCAGCATTATTGGTATAAATGAAAACCTTAGCTCTATAGCTTCTCATTTCCATTTTTTCTCATCTTGCTTAGGTACTTTCACATGCAAATGAGAAAATGTAATCTTTTTTGTATTATGTAAAAGTTAAAGTACCATTTAATTGTATGCTCATTTATGAATTAGAGGTTATGAATTTAAATCCATATATTATAATGCTGGCTTATAAATAATGATCTCATATAGAAGTTATATGCCCCACGTAGGTAGCATATGTTCTGGACACATTGGATGGACTAGTTTTATGCCAATACCAAGTCATCTCCAGGTGGACTCCTGTGGATATGCGTTAAGACATCTAGGTGGCCAGTGTAATAACTTAGTCCAGAATTGATGGACTAAATCATATAAGAATAACATAAAAGTTGGAAGATTAGAGTTCAGTAAATATAAATCCCTAGGGGGATCTATCTATCTATCTATCTATCTATCTATCTATCTATCTATCTATATTTCAGTTTAGAGAATGATTAACAAATAAATCATAAATGTTTATGATCATGTCCAAATCTACCCTCTGTACTCTGAATGTGTTACAATACTTGTGCTTAATAATTTAACGCAGAAGCAACAGAAACTTTCTAACTAGCAATCTACACAACAGCTTCTATTAATTAAATTATCCATTAACATTTGTGTCATTATTAGAAATTGGAAAATTAAATTAAAGCCAGCAATTTTTAATTGGTACCACAGGTAAAGTGTGTTTGGACTTGTGTTTAATAGGGCAGTGAGAATGAGGTATGTATAACACAAATTAAACAATTGTGCAGTTACTAGGCTAATATGTAGCAAAAGAGTTAATAAAAAATACTAGTTTGGGACACTGGTTAATGTTTAGTTCCATGTAAGACAAGAAAAACACAGAGTTGAAATTTGAAAGTAATGCCACATTGTATCTGGTTCACAGTGACCACTTAATACATATTTGCTAAATCTGATGACAGACAAGAATTTCTGAGGTTTTGGTTCACATTTTAAGAGTTAACCAGCAAAATCTCCCTCTTTCCTGCTGTATATTCCCATACTTACACTAATGTCCCCTTTTTTACTTTAAAACTATCAGATTCTGAATTTAATAATTCTGCATATTAATTTTCACTATATCCATCACAAGGCTTAAAACACAGTTGAGGCTGGGCGTGGTGGCTCACGCCTGTAATCCCAGCACTTTGGGAGGCTAAGCTGGGTGGATCATTTGAGGTAATGAGTTTGAGACTGGCTTGGCCAACATAGTGAAACCCTGTCTCTGCTAAAAATACAAAAAAATTACCTGGGCATGGTGGCAGGCACCTGTAACCCCAGCTATTCATTAGGCTAAGGCAGGAGAATCACTGGAACCCGGGAGGCAGACATTACAGTGAGAAGAGATTGCGCCACTGCACTCCAGCCTGGGTGACAGAGACACTCTGCCTCAAAAACAAACAAACAAACAAAACAAACAAAAACAAAACCAAAAAAAACCCCCAAAAAACCACCACACACAATTGAGTCCCATTCTTAACATTAAATGACAAAATGACCTGAGAAGTCAATCTTTTAGGAGCTTAGGCTGGTAGAAAGGAAGTTTTGGGACTCTAATCAGAATATATTACTCACTGTTCATACCACCTTCTTAAGTTATCATAATAGAGTGAATCTCTAAATTTGTAAACAGGTAAACACAAAGCATGAAAAGCATTGAATATTAGGGAAATCTTTGAATCTAACATTTGTTCCTAGATGTTTATCATTTTTCACCTGTAAATACCTCAGCTGACTTATTTCATTATGTCTACTTTTTTCCCTAGAAATTAACAGTTTATATTTTTGGGTATTTAGCACTTTTCATACAGTAATTAAAATTTATCAGAGAAGAAGATTCACTTTTCTTAACCTCACATTTGTCAAAATGAAGACTTAAAAGCTAGCACAGAAGTAAATAATGCAACTACATGAAAGTCTGTCTTCCAAATGCCAATTTATAAATTATGGGTTAACTAACATTCCTCAGCTTCCCTATAAAACAAACTTGACTAATACTCAGGACAAGCAAAATGAGAGTAGCTAGTAGCCACTCCTTTGTAAGTTTATATTTTCTGCTAGCCCAAGTTGTGCTATGAGTCAAATTTGAAGTCACTTGTTAATTTGTGAACCAAGAAACATGCACACAAAAAAGGAAAGCTATTATTTTTATTAAAATAATTTGAGGCCGGGCGCGGTGGCTCACGCCTGTAATCCCAGCACTTTGGGAGGCCGAGGCGGGTGGATCACGAGGTCAGAAGATCGAGACCATCCTGGCTAACACGGTGAAACCCCGTCTCTACTAAAAATACAAAAAATTAGCCGGGCGTGGTGGCAGGCGCCTGTAGTCCCAGCTACTCGGGAGGCTGAGGCAGGAGAATGGCGTGAACCCGGGAGGCGGAGCTTGCAGTGAGCCGAGATCGCGCCACTGCACTCCAGCCTGGGCGACAGAGCGAGACTCCGTCTCAAAAAAAAAAAAATAAAATAATTTGAATGCTTTTGGCAAACAAGCAATACAAATTGGATGAAAAAATGCTGTTGATTTAAGTATGCGAAAACAACTGTAAGGGGTGGGGAAAAATCTGGAAATCTAGAATTTGGAACTCTAATTTTGTGGATTTTTTTTCCCCCAAAGTTCTCCTTTTCATTTTAAAGAAGCTAAAATTGGAAAACACAGATATGGTGTTATGGCTGTGGAAAAATACAAGAAAAACATTACAGAATTATAATCAGTGGACACATCCTCTAAGGTTCTTCCTTCTCTCTAGCTTTTGGGATCTTAATCGGTTAGAGTGGAAACAGTTGTGGAGGGCAGAATAAAACAGATTTGTCCAATAAATATCCTTTCCAATCTTTTTGTATTATACCTCTGCTAAAGCCTTTCATCTTTAGGGGTTGTGCCTGATTGTTTTATAAATATTCTATGTATATGTGAAAAATGCATATTCTCTGTTCAAAGGGTGAAAAATTCTCTATATTCAATCAAACTTACTGATTGACTTACTATATTGCTAATGACTTTACCCTTTTTTGTTTTCTGGTAGATTTGTTCCATTCTGAAAAGAGTACATTAAAGATAATCACTATGCATTTTCTTTTTAAAAGCAGCATATTTAGATTATCTGTTTTATGTTCCATGCAAATTTAAGACAAATTGTATTTGCTATTACTACCCAATGTCTCTTTTTTTTTTCCTGATTACTGTTTTTATTATTTATAAAAGGAAAATTGTGCCCAGCCTGGTCCATGTAAGGTAATTCAAAATCTCTTTCTAGAAAGAAATTTGCATTCTTGAAAATGCTTAAGCAATTTTCTGACAAATTTTAATAAGATTAAGAGCCCTTACTGAAAACTCATTACCCATGGACCCAGCTGGCTGTCCATCAGGAGCCTCATCATCATCAATCAAGTGTTCTTTTCCTTTCTCCCTGTTCCTTTTTTTTTCTTTAATCATATGTAACCCAGTATTTAACCACTCCTTTTCTTTTTCTTAAAATGTAAATATCTGTACCAAGTAAGAAGTGTTTTAATTGGCCTGTTTTAGGTCTCCTTCTTTATAGAAAGTTTGAGATAAAACTTTGACAATTATTCATATCAAATTTTCTGAAAATATTTTTAACAGTTTAAAAGATACCATATGCGATTTTCATATAACCATGCCTGTTGTCTTTTTTTCCCATTTGCTTCATAATTATTTGCTCAATGTTTTGTTTTCAATCATTTAAAAAATAAATTCAAGTGCCTTATTTTGGTGTACAGCTTTTATAGCTGGCATTAGGTTTTGTAGTTTCTGATAGTCTTTGCTTTTAATGTCAGATAAATATGTTAATGTTTAGTATTATAACTGATATACTTGGTTTTATTCCTTCCATTCTAATTTATATTTCTTTTTTCCTTTTCTTTTTTAGAAAAACTGTCCTTAGAAAAAGATCTGAAAATAGGACAAAGGGATTGCTGTGTCCTGTCCATTCTGTGGAGTCTTGAGCCATGTTCTAGCTGGCCCAACCTGCAATTGTCAGCCTCTCTAGGGATGCCATACTTGAATCTCCTTGAGTGCCCTAATGATTTTTCTATTATAGTTGCCACCTGTCTCCTTTGGCAGGTCTATGGGCTGTCCATGTGTTCTTTTTACTCTGACTCTCTAGCACACTCTGGCTGCTAGCTCACTGGTTGGGGTGCTACTTTTTCTTTGCTGGCTTTTTGGTTGACAAACTTTAAGCACTGGGTGTCCTACAAATGGTGAGAGGTGAGAGGTGAAGTGATCATCTGCCAGGAGATGGTGGCAGGGAGTCCATTGACGCATCCCTCTATTCCCTGATGTCTTCATACCTGCTCAGCCTTAGGGAAGCAAAGACTCCGCCTACCCGTTGCCCTCATTCAACCCATTCATAGATCTCCATAGGTTAAACTATTTCAAGGGTCTATTGCTTTGTGATCCTCACTCTCAGGTTTCAAGACTCTTCTTTAGGTGTTCAGTGAGTCACCGAGGCATGGGGGCAGTAAGGAATACTGCCAATTTTCTTCCACAGGAAGCTCCTCAGAGCCCACAAGTTCATTTCATTTCAGCTCTTATGAAACCCAACCAGTTTTTTTTTTTTTTTGTAATTGGTCAAAGACAGATAATTCAGAGCTAGTGCTAGAAACTTGCACTAGAGGCTAGCAGTTTCTAGAGGCTTGTTCAGGTCATTATCTTTCCAGAATTTCCTTCTGTACTCAGGTTTTGAGTTTAAAAGCCAAGATTTTAGATTTTTTTTTGTTCCCTAGTTTACCTACTGACAATACTCAAACGATAGGTGCCCTCTTGTCCCAAGTTGATAGAGGGCTACCAGAGAAACAGAAAGGAAAAAAAAGAGAAGCATATTATGAATACTTTATAATTAATGAACACTTACTGCCCTGGCAGGGTAGCCAGTTTTGAATATAAACTACATCAGGGTCCAAGATAGGGGTTGTATGGAAATGAAAGGGGAGTTGGCAGGGACATGTCCTGCAAGAGTAGATTAGAAACCTGGTGAAGGTGTCTCAGCAGGTAGTTGTTTAACAGGGCTCAACTGGGAAAGGCGTAGAATAGGGGCACTATTATTTGATGAACTTTAATGAATAAATAGGCTGGGGATATTGAGGGATAGGTTAAAGCAGGGAAAAATACAACATATAGTCGTAAAGCCAAATGGCAATCAAGAAAAGCAGGAAGATTGTTTTCATCGTACTCTTTGGGGCACTCCGTTAATCGGTAGAGTGACATCTGCACAAACTCTGATGGTTACCTGATACCTAAAATCCTCAACTCTGTTCCAGCTCAGCCACAAGTGAACTGGGTGACTTGGGAGTAGATATTTGAAGTTTTTTGTATTTAATATTCCATCTCCAAAATAAGATATTTAATCATATTAGCCTTTGAAATTCTAGCTAAGTCCAAATTCAATGACAATTCTAGATAGATCGTATATTCAGACACACAGACGGGGAGATGCATGCGCACATCTTTCTTTCCTCTGCAACTCAGCCTCCCTGTTGGGGGTGGCTTGGTTTCTGGACTGGAAGTGATAAAAAGGAGGCACGCTTCTAGCTCAATATATTCCAGCTATATATAACTGTACAACAATACATCTAGCAGCATTCCCAAGTGTGAAACATGCTGCCTCCAGATAAACACCTGACCTGTAAAGAAGAGGTCATCATGTATTTATCTGGTGGCAGCATCTTTCACACCTGGGAATGCTGCTAGATGCTTTTACTGAGTGACATAAACACTGCCAGCTTTGAGTGGGACTCAGAGCAAAGAAGTGCTCTGTAGCAGGTCCAAGGTAAGGTGCAGCAGCCTTGATGTGTGGGCCATATGGCCTGACAGATCCGGTGCTATTAGAGGAAACTGTGGTAGGAAAAGTTGCTGTGTGAGATTGCTGGCTACATCTGGTAGGATAACTGCAATAGACCCCCAGGGTTCAGGAGCAAGGCCATGATCTCTGCAGTAGAGAGTTATACAGCCTTCAGAAGTATAGTTCCTGTTGTGTTGCTGGACCCTAGTTGAAACAGCATTCCTGACAATGAGACAACAAGTGACCCTATGACCGGAACTTCCCATTATAAGCTGGTTTTTGTTAGACCATCTACATGATGAACTGTCAGCAGTTTATCCTAAGAAGGAAGTGGTATGTCTGGAATCAGTCATAAGCAGGGCCAGAGGTCATAATATGTATGAATGAGTGGCCCAGTCGTCCATGAAATCCATTGGTGTTCCACTGATGCCTCTCCCTCAATTAACTATTGCAGCTGCTGTACCAGTTAAAGCAGTCTATAACCGCTTACAGAGAAGGGAAAAGGTGAAGCTTGGTTCATAGACGGATTTACTCTTTATGCGGTGCAAGCTAGAAATGTATTACTATTGCATTACAAACATATCTGGGAGTGGCCCTGAAATACAGTAGGGGCATGGGAAATTCTCCCAGTGGACAAAGCTGTAGGATTGAGTAAAATATACATATGAACTCATAGACAGTGGTGAATATTTTGGCTGTCTGTTCAGGGGCATAGAAAATGAAATATTGGGCTGGACGCATGTGGCTAGACCTAAGAAGCCTTAGAGAGCTTGAGTGTAAATTGTGAAGATCTTTGTATCAAATGGTTGTAATAATCCATCATGGAATAAGCACTAAACAATCAAGGAGAAGAACCAGCCATCTTCTTCATCCACCAACCACGTGCTGGCACAATGAACAGCATGAACAATGAACAGCATGACCATGGCAGCAGGGATGAAAGCTATGCATGGGCTCAACAATGTGGCCTCCCTCTTACGAAGACTGATCTAGCTCCTGCTATTGCTGAAGATTCAACCTGCTGGCAACAGAGACCAAAGGTGAGTCCCTACTATGACACCATCTTTCTTTCTTTCTTTCTTTCTTTCTTTCTTTTTTTTTTTTTTTGAGATGGAGTCTCACTCTGTCGCCCAGGCTGGAGTGCAGTGGCGCAAGCTCTGCTCACTGCAAGCTCTGCCTCCCGGCTTCACGTCATTCTCCTGCCTCAGCCTCCCGAGTAGCTGGGACTACAGGCGCCCGCCACCACGCCCGGCTAATTTTTTGTATTTTTAGTAGAGAAGGGGTTTCACTGTGTTAGCCAGGATGGTCTCGGCCTCCCAAAGTGCTGGGATTACAGGCGTGAGCCACCACGCCCGGCCTATGACACCATCTTTCTAGGGGAGCTACCAGTCACTGGTGTCAACTTTATATATTAGACCCCTTGCATCCTGGAAGGAGAATGAATCATCTTGATGGAAATAGACACATATTATGTTTTTTCTTTCCAGTCTGCAGGACTTCAACCAGAGTCACTCTTTGAGAGCGGGCAGAGTATTTATTCCATAGCTCAGAATGTAGCATCATATCCAAGGATGCACCTTACAGAAGGAAGTGTGACCTTGGGAATATGAACATGGAGTCTACTAGCCCTATCACATACTATTCCATAGAGAAGCTGATGGCCAGATAGAGTGATAGAATTGCCTTTTAAAAAGTTTTATCAAGAAATAATTCATGTATTATTAAATTCACTCATTTAAAATGTACAATTCAATGAATTTTAGCATATGTATAGGTTATATAACTGTGACTACAATCCAATTTAGAATATTTCTATCATTCCAACAAGAAACCTCTTGCTCACTTATAGTCACCACCCATTCTCACCCTGGCAATGCTTTCTGGAGGAATTGTTGATACGTCAGTTTAGAGATGATACCTTGCCCTTGCAAAGATAAGATGCCATTCTCTTAGCTGCAGAATACACTCTAAATCAATGGCCACGTGTTCTCAGTGAGTACAATACATAGATCTTGGAATCAAAGGATGGAAGTAGGAGTGGATCGTATGACCAGCATCTCAGTAATCTACCAGGGAAATTTGTGCTTTCTGTCACTGTAACACTAGATTGTGTGGTTCTATAAATTTTGGTTCCAAGAAGTGGAATGCTTTCACCAGGAAATACATCAAGATTCTCAGTAAACTTTGAGCTATGGCTGTTATTCAGTTACTTTAGGTGCCGTTTTTTTTTTCCCGCCAAACTGGTAGGGCAAATTGACTTGAAAATCAGGAAGTAGGACTATTGTTATACTATGGGATCAGTAGAGAATAAGATTTAGATCCAAGTGATCCTCTAGGGTGCCTATTGCTAGTAATGCCAAATTTTGACAGTAAGTGGACATGTCCTGCAGCCATGACATGAGAAAGGCATAATCCCTAAGATTTCAGTTCTCTCAGAGATGACAGCTTTGGTCATTCCACTAGGTAAGCCACCTAGAACAGCAGAGGCACGTGCTGAGGATGTGATCAACTTGGAATGAATACTGCAGGAAGAATGGTGATTACTAGTTAACCTTGAAACTAGCTGAAGCCACGGAGACTATTGTTTGTCCTATTGCCATTTTTATTATTTTTTTTTCAGGAAATAGGACCAATCAGAATCCCAGAAAACCTGTCTGGAGTAAACTTATATGAAGCAAGTGAATCCAAAAGGGACAATGGTGAACTGCAGTGGATGCCGTAGCTCATTACCCAGAGTCCACCTTCTGGGACAGCAGTACCTAGCTGCTGGGATTGTTGCCTGCTGATGGCTCGCAGTTGAATCACTCCCCTGCAATTGCCTTCAAAAGGGAACTGCCGTGACCATGGTTATGCTCCGTTTCTAGTGGGGAATTTCATATCCAATTAGTGGTCTATGTGTAGGCGCAAAGGTCCAGTCACCTCTACTAATTCAGGATATCTCTGAAGCACTATCTCAGCTTCAGAGCTCTCCATGGGAGTGACTGAGACCTCATAACACAGGATAAGTGCTCCCTTTGCCTAATCTTGCTTCCCTTAC
Source organism: Homo sapiens (assembly GCF_000001405.40). Classification (NCBI taxonomy): domain Eukaryota; kingdom Metazoa; phylum Chordata; class Mammalia; order Primates; family Hominidae; genus Homo; species Homo sapiens. Next base: position 86,999,958 of record NC_000005.10, on the reverse strand, counting down.
TTCATTGGAGGTGTTGTTCCCAAGATCATTTCCATAAAACATTTGCACTCAGTCTCTGATTCAGAGTCTGTTTTCTACAGATCCTGACCATGTAAAATACATTAATTTGACTTTTAAAATAACAGGGTATGTTAAAACTAGTTCTACCTAAAAAATTGAAGTGAGCAATTGATTAGTAAACGTAATTATAGTAAGCAGTCGAAAGAGTTTATTTAGTTCCTCTAGTCTCCCGGCCTTTTTTTTTTTTTTTTAACTTAAGCAAGAGTTCTTTCTTTAAAATATTTTTTAAAAATTGACACATAATAGTTGTACACATTTATGGGGTACATGGTGGTGTTGTGATACATATAATGTATAGTGATCAGATCAGGATAATCAGCTATCCATCACATCAAAAATTTATAATTTTTTTTGTGTTGGGAACATTCAATGTCCTCCTTTTAGTTATTTGAAACTATACAATATATTCTTGTTAACTATACTTATCTTATACTACTATAGAACACTAGAACTTATTTCTCCTATCTAGCTGTAATTGTATACTTTTTTTTTTGTATACTTTTTTTTGGAGATGGAGTGCTGCTCTGTTGCCCAGGCTAGAGTGCAGTGGTGCGATCTTGGCTTGCTGCCACCTCCGCCTCTCAGGTTCAAGTGATTCTCCTGCCTCAGCCTCCCAAATAGCTGGGAATACAGGCATGTGCCACTGTGCCTGGCTAATTTTTATATTTTTAGTGGAGACGAAGTTTCACTATTTTGGCCAGGCTGGTCTCAAACTCCTGACCTCACGTGATCCACCCGCCTCGGCCTCCCAAAGTGCTGGGATTACAAGTGTGAGCCACTGTGCCCAGCCCCCTTTCTTGATTTATTAAAAAATTGACTCAGTTTTCTAAATCCTAACCTATGAAAGACTGCTTTTCAGATTGGATGTCTTTTACCTAAGAATCTCAATTATCTTATTTTATTATTAGAATTGACATACCACTAGGTAGAACATGGAATTATTAGTGGATTGCAATATTTTATACACTGTTGTAAGTTAAAATCTTTTCCATCAAGGCCAGCAGTATAATCAATTATGTGGGCAGTTGCTTTTATTCAGTAGAGATGTGGCTAGATTTGTTATAAGGAACAAATGTCACCAGTTAACTGGACAAGAAGTCTGCCTTACAAAGAATGTTGCTAGCATTGTGTTCAGAAAAGCTTACAATAGATTCCTTACTATTAGGAATCTATTACATTATACATTTACATGTGGAAGTCCAGCACTCAAAAGTTACTTTCTTCTTCTTAAATATGTATCTTTAAATTTATGTTAAAACCATGTGATCTGGCACCTTGATTAGTTCATAATTAAGTTAGTAGTCCATAATTTGAGAAATGAAGCTTGTGTAGCTCTGTGAAACAGTCACACACAAGCACACACACACACACAAATGCACGCACACATCTAAACCCCACATGCTCACATTCACCACAGAATTCCTTATTTAAATATGCTAACATCATAACTACAAACAAAATGCTTATCGGTATACCTATAAAACATAACAAAGACAGTGTGAGTTTGGTACAGGAATAAACTACAAATGGAACAGGATAAAGTTCAGAAACAGACTATGGTATATATGTTCAACTGATTGGGAAAGAATGCTTTATCTTTTCATTAAATGATGCTGGGTTTAATAGATAGCTATAAAAATAAGGACCTTGACTCCTATCTCACACCATATACAAGAGTCAATTCTAGATTGATTACTGGGCTAAATATGTAAAGCAAAACAAAGGGATTTTAGAGCAAAATATAGGTGTACATTTTTTTGTGACCTTGGAATAGGCAAAGAAATATTGAATAGAACATAAAAAGCATTAAGCATAAAAGAAAGAATTGAAAACCTGGATTATATTAAGAATTTCTGTTTGCCAAAGACACCATAAGTGGATTAAGGGGAAAGATGTGGACTGGAAGAAAATATTCACACCCCATATATACGACAAAAGACTTCTGTCAAGAATATATAAAGAGAAGGGCTTCAAGGGGGCAGACCACAGGCATCTGGTGGATGCCTCCTCCAGTAAGAGGAACCAAAATAGCAAGTAAATAATCACACATCGAATAGAGAATCTAAGAGAGAAAACTGGCATTTAACAGAAGTGATAGGAAACACATGAGACACAGAAGGAGAGGGAAGTGAGGCAGCCAGCTCAGCCAGGATTGTCTGGGAATCCAAAGAGAGTTCCCAGTGTGGGGAAAGGGTAAGTGAAAGATCTCAAGTAGTTCACATTCCTAGGGCAAACTCCTGCAAACCTAGCCATGAGAGAAACCCACATGGCCCCTGAGAATAGCATAAGGATCTGTCTGGAGACCACATGACAGCATTGCTCCAGAGAAGGCACTCATGCCAGGTCCCACACACCCTGAATCCTAGGCAGCTGCAGCATGGTGCCATTCTGAGAGCCCAGCCCCCACCAGATTGCATCCTTTTCTGGGGTCCAATATTCCCCACATCTCCACAATCCTAGAGCCCTACTGACATCCCCACATCTATTGGGGGGCTCAACAGCCAAAATCATTCTGAGCAAAAAGAACAAAGCTAGAACTTCACATTAACTGACTTCAAAATATATTACAAGGCTAAAATAACCAAAACAGCATGGTTTATGTTAAAAATAGATGCATAGATCAATGGAACAAAATAGAGGACCCAGAAATAAATGTATGTATTTACAGCCAATTACTTTTCAACAAAGGTGGCAAGAACATACCTTGGGGGAATGGATGCACTTTTCAATAAATGGTGCTGGGAAAACTGGATTTCTAGATGCAGAAGAATGAACCCAGAACCCTATCTCTCACCATAAAGAAAAATCAACTCAAGACAGCTTAAAGACTTAAACATAGGACCCAAAACTATAAAACTGCCAGAAGAAACATAGAGGAAATAATCCAGAACATTCGTGTAGGCAAATATTTTATGGCTAAGACTTCAAAACCACAGGCAACAAAAACGAAAATAGAAAAATGAGACTATATTAAACTAAGAAGCCTCTGCACAGCACAGGAAACAAGCAACAGAGTGGAGACACAACCTATTGGATTGGAGAAAATATTTGCAAATTATTCATCTGACAAGGGGTGAATATCCAGATTATACAAGGAACTCAAACAACTAAACAAACAAACAAACAAACAAACAAAAACTAATAATTCCAATAGAAACTGGTCAAAGGACATAAATAGAAGATTCTCAAAAGAGGGCATATATGTGGCTAACAGTTATATTAAAAAAGTACTCAATGTCACTAATCATCAGAAAAATGCGAATCAAACCACGATAGGATACTATCTTACTCCTTTTAGAATGGCTATTAATAAAAACACAAAAATAGCAGGTGCTCGTGAGGATGCAGAGAAAAGAGAAACTACTCCTGTACACTGCTGGTTGGAATGTAAATTAGTGCAGGTACTATGGAGAACAGTATGGAGATTTCTCAAAAAACTAAAAATAGAATTACAATATGATCTAGCATTCCCACTACTGGGCATTTATTCAAAGGGAAGGAAATAAATTATATTAAAGCAATACTTGCACCCCTATGTTTATTGCAGCACTAGTCACAATAACAAAGATATGGAATCAACCTGTGTCCATCAATGGATGAATGAATAAAGAAAATGGACATATATATAGAATGAAATACTATTCAATCATAAAAAAGAATGAAATCATTTTTGTAGCAACCTGGATGGAATTGGAGGTCATTATGTGAAGTGATATAAGCCAGGTACAGAAAGACAAATTTTACATGTTCTTACTCATATGTGGAAGCTAAAGGAGTTGACCTCATGGAGTTAGAGAGTAGATTGATAGACTAGAGGCTAGGCAGGTTGTGTGTGTGTTTGTGGGTAGGATGGATGAAGAGAGGTTGGTTAATGGGTATGAATGTAGAGTTAAACAGAAGGAATAAACTCCAATCTTAGGAGAGTAGAGTTACTGTAGTTAACAACAATGTATTGTATATTTCAAAAGAGCTAGAAGAGAAAACTTTAAATATTCCCAACACATATAAATTGTAAATACTTGGGGTGATGGATACTCTAAATATTCTAATTTGATCATTACGTGTTCTATGACTTAATAAAATGCCACATGTAGCGCATAAAAATGAACAAATATTATATATCAATAAAAAGAATAGATATAAGAACCTCTATAAATCAATAAGAAAAACACAGATGACTTAATTGAAAAACGGACAAGATATGAAGTGACTTCATGAATAAGGATATCCCTATGCTGGGGAAACCTATAAATAGATGCTTAAATTCATAATTTATAAAAGAAAGGTGAATTAAATCCAGCATATGGTATAATAATACTTCACACTCATTAGAATGATTAAAAAAGGAAATTTTGGTAAAGGCACAGAGAAACTGGAAGTCTCTCATACGCTGCTGATGGAACTGTAAATTAGTCCAATAACTCTGTAATAAACAAATACTCTGGTAACAAGTAATTTAACTTCTAGGTTTATTTAATAAGAACTAACAGAAATCAATGCTAAGAAATTCACTCAAAACTACACAATTAGATAAAAACTGAACAATCTGCTCCTGAATGACTTCTGGGAAAATAATGAAATTAAGGCAGAAATCAAGAAATTCTTTGAGACTAATGAGAACAAAGATAAAACATTCCAAAATCTCTGGGACACAGCCAAAGCAGCGTTAAGAGAGAAGTTTATAGCACTACACATCCACATCAAAAAGTTAGAAAGATATTACGTTAACAACTTAATATCATAATTAGAGGAACTACAGAAACAAAAGCAAACCAATCCCACAGCTAGCAGAAGACAAGAAATAACCAAAATTAGAGCTGAACTGAAGGAAACTGAGACATGAAAAACCATACAAAAGATCAATGAATCCAGGAAATGGTTCTTTGAAATAATTAATAAGATAAACTACTAGCTAGACTAATAAAGAAAGAAGAGGGAAATCTAAATAAATACAATCATAAATGACAAAGGGGACATTACCACTGACCCTACAGAAATACAAAGAACCCTTAGAGACTATTAGGAACACCTCTATGCACACAAGCTCAAACACCTAGAAGAAACTGATAAATGTTTGGATACATACAACATCCCAAGAATGAACCAAGAAGAGATTAAATCCCTGAACAAATCAATAATGAGTTCTATAATTCAATCAGTAACAAGCCTACCAACCAGAAAAAGCCTAGGACCAGATTGATTCATAGCCAAATACTACCAGATGTATAAGGAAGAGCTGGTACCATTCCTTCTGAAACTATTCCAAAAAATTGAGGAGGGGGACTCCTGCCTAAGTCATTCTATGAGGACAGCGTAATCCTGTTACCAAAGCCTGACAGAGACACAACAACAACCAAAAGAAAACTTCAGGCCAATATCCTTGATGAACGCAGATGCAAAAATCTCTACAAAATACTAGCAAACTGATTCCAGCAGCTCATCAAAAAGTTAATCCATCATAATCAACTAGGCTTTATCCCTGGGATGCAAGATTGGTTCAACATATGCAAATCAGTAAATGTGATTTTTCACATAAACAGAACTAAAAACAAAAACCACATGATCATCTTGATAGATGCAGAAAAGGCTTTCAATAAAAATTCAATATCCCTTCATGTTAAAGGCCCTCAACAAACTAGGCATTGAAGGAACATACCTCAAAATAATAAGAGCCATCTATGACAAATCCACATCCAACATCACACTGAATGGCAAAAAGCTGGAAGCATTTTCCTTAAAGCCAGAACAAGACAAGGATGCCCTCTCTCACCACTCCTATTCAACATAGTACTGGATGTCCTAGACAGAGCAATCAGGCAGAAGAAAAAAATAAAAGGCATCCAGATAGGAAGAGAAGAAGACAAACTATCCTTGTTTGCAGATGATATGATTCTATACCTAGAAAACCCCATAGTATCTGCCCAAGAGCTCCTTGACCTGATAAACAACTTCAGCAAAATTTCAGGATACAAAGTCAATGTACAAAAATCAGTAGCATTCCTATACAATAATAACATCCAAGCTGAGAGCCAAATCAAGAACTCAACCCCATTCACGATAGCTTCAAAAAGAATAGAATACCTAGGAAACAGCTAACCAAAGAGGTGAAAGACCTCTACAACAAGAATTACAAAACACTGCTCAAATAAATCAAAGAATACACAAATAAAAAACATCTCATGCTCATGGTTAGGAAGAATCAATATTGTTAAAACGGCCATACTGCCCAAAGCAACATACAGATTCAATGCTATTCCTATCAAACTACCAATGGTCTTCTTCATGGAGCTAGAAAAAACTATTTTAAAATTCACATGGAACCAAAAAAGAGCCTGAATAGCAAAGGCAATCCTAAGTAAAAAAAAAACCAAAGCAGGAGGCATTACATTACCCAGATGCAAACTATCCTACAGGGCTACAGTAACCAAAACATCATGGTGCTGGTACAAAAAACAGGCACATAGACAATTGGAACAGAGTAGAGAGCCCAGAAATAATGCTGCACACCTACAACCATCTGATCTTCAACAAAGTTGACAAAAACAAGCAATACGGTGCTGGGATAACTGGCTAGCAATATGCAAAAGACTGAAATTGGACCTCTTCCTTATACCGTATACAAAAATCAACTCAACATGGATTAAAGACTTAAATGTGAAACCTGAAACTATAAAAAACTCTGAAAGATAACCTAGGAAATACAATTATGGATGTAGGACTGACAAAGGTTTCATGATGAAGACACCAAAAGCAATTCCAATGAAACCAAAAATTGACAAATGGAACCTAATTTAACTAAAGAGCTTCTGAACAGCAAAAGAAACTATCAACAGAGTAAACAGACAAGCCACAGAATGGGAGAAAATACTTGCAAACTATACATCTGACAAAGGTCTAATATCCAGAATCTATAAAGAACTTAATTTATATGAAAAAAACAACTCCATTAAAAAGTGGGCAAAACATAAACAGACACTTCCAAAAGAAGACACACATGTGGCCAACAAACATGAAAAAATGCTTAACATCACTAATCATTAAAGAAATGCAAATCAAAACCACAATGAAATACCATCTCACGTTAGTAAGAATGGCTATTATTACAAAGTTAAAATATAAGAGATTATAGCGAGATTGTGGAGAAAAGGGAATGCTTATACATTGCTGGTAGGATTGCAAATTAGTTCAGCCACTGTGAAAAGCAGTTTGGAGATTTCTCAAAGAACTTAAAACAGAATGGACTACCAGTTGACCTAGCAATCCCATTATTTGGTATGTGTCCAAAGGAATATAAATTGTTCTACCATAAAGACACATGCGTGCATATGTTTATTCCAACATTCTTCACAAAAGCAAAGACACGGAATCAACCTAAATGTCCATCAGTGGTAGATGGGATAAAGCAAATGTGGTACATAAACACCATGCAGCCATAAAAAAGAATGAGATCCTGTTCTCTGCAGCAACATGGATGGAGCTAGAGGCCATTATCCCAAGCAAACTAACCCAGCAAGAGAAAACTAAAAACCACATGTTCTCACTTATAAGTGGGAGCTAAACTTTGAGCACATATATGGACACAAAGAAGAGAACAACAGACACTGGGGCCTACTTGAGGGTGGAGGATGGTAGGAAGGAGAGGATCAAAAAATACCTATCAGGTGCTATGCTTATTACCTGGGCAACAAAATATTCTGTATACCAAACCCCTGTAACATGCAATTTACCTATATAACAAACCTTCACATGTACTCCTGAACCTAAAATAAAAATTTCAAAAAAGTATACATGTTTTCCAAAATACACATGCTAGAATGTTCACAGCATATTATTCATAGTAATCAAAAACAGTAAATGACCAAAATCTCACTCAATAATAGAATTGGTGAATAGACACACTGAATGTTTACTACGTAAGAATGTGAATGAATTATCTACATCTTCAGCAACAATATAGATGAATTGCACAAATATAATGTTGAGGGAAATAAGCTTAAAGCAAAAGATGAACACTGTGTGTTCCTGAATGTCATTGTCCACTCAGCCACTGGATTTAAGCAGAGTTCAAATCTGTACTTCACATAAGGGTGGATCCCTCAGGATATTTTGTAATGTACTTCATATATGAAGTATGAAAACCAGCAAAATTAATTTACCCTTTTGAAAGTCAGGATAGTAATTTCCTCTGATGGTATACTGACTGGAAAGGAGAATGATGAGGGTGACTGGTAATTGTCTGTTTTTTTTGTTCTGGGGGCTGATTATACAGGTTTGTACACTTTATGCCAATATAATGAGTAATATACTTAAGTCCACTTTTCTCTAAGTGTATTATATGTCAATAAAAACAGAAAATGACAGTTTTTGATCTTTTGAAGAAAAACAGGTATATTTCAGAGACACTTTGACTAATTATTAGATGATATCAATTATCTTTTGCCTATCTTTAGTTTTATTGGCATACTTTAGAACACTTCTTGCTCTTACCTTACTGGCAGATTATATAAATATTACTCCACGTTCATACTACTATAAAGAACTTCCTGAGACTGGGTAATTTATAAAGGAAAGAGGTTTAATTGACTCACAGTTCAGCATGGCTGAGGAGGCCTCAGGAAACTTACAATCCTGGTGGAAGGCAAAGGGAAAGCAAGATACCTTCACAAGGTGGCAGGAAGGAGAAGTGCCGAGCAAAGCGGGAAGAGCCCCTTAAAAAATAATCAGATCTCATGTGATCTCATTCACTATAATGAGAACAGAATGGGGGAAACTGTCCCTATGATTCAATTACCTCCACCTGGTCTCTCCCTTGACATATGGGCATTATGGGGATTACAATTCAAGATGACATCTGGGTGGTGACACAAAGCCTAACCATTCACAGATATTTCTGGGACTTTACATACAGTATTTCAGGTTAACACAGCCTCAAAATCTTTCTTAGTCTCCTCAGTCCTTAGCAGTCTGTTCTAAATCAGAGATACTCAGACCTAGGTATGCAGCAGATTCACCTCCAGATAGTCTGATTTGGCAGGTGTAGGTTGAAGTCTCCGTGTCCCTGGTACATCTGATAGGAATCTGGTCATGGAACCACTGAACTAGACTGTCAAAGATAGCATTAGCATACCTCTATAGCAGTCTTGACAGCAGGAAAGTTAAGGATGGGAATTTAAAAGTTGGGCCATCTATGCTATAAGCTGAGTGAAAATGATTATTCAAGAAGTCGACAAAAAATTTTTCAAGTGAAACTATCCAGTTTCCCAGATAAAAACTATTTATGCTGAATACTGTTTTAATGAGTTTGATCTAATACGAACTATTAAATACATAAAACAAATCACCTTCAAAGCAATCCAAGTTTCAGGCTTATGCAAGTTTTTTTCTTTTTCCTTTTTTTTTGGGGGGGCAAGATGTATAAGATATGCTGTCCAAAGATAACTGTGCATTTTATTTTTATCATCATAACCTTCACTTAGATAACCATAACAAATAAGGGTTGCATAGGGTATGTATGGAACATAAGTGTGTATCTCTTTCTTGACACTCAGGAGTAAATGAAAAAATAAGTATATAAATAACAATTAAAATTTAAAAAACCCCCAAAACCTAAGTGTATATCCCTAAAAATGTCTAAGAATCAGTCAAGTTGATCAACTTGGAGCAGAATTCCATATCATTTAGGGGGTAATTTGAAAACTACTAACATCAAATTCCTTTAATATAGTATTAATAATTGATGACATTTTAGCTGGGTGCAGTGGCTCAAGCCTGTAATCCCAACACTTTGGGAGGCCAAGGCAGGTACATCACTTGAGCCCAGGAATTTAAGACTAGCCTGGCCAACATGGCAAAACCCTGTGTCTACAAGAAATTACAAAAATTAGCCAGGCTTGGTGGTACATACCTGTAATCCTAGCTACTTGGGAGGCCAAGGCAGGAGAACTGCTTGAATCCAGGAAGCAGAGGTCGCAGTGAACCAAGATCACACCACTGCACTCCAGCCTGGATGACAGAACAAGACTCTGCCTCAAATAATAATAATAATAATAATAATAGATGACATTTTATTTTATTCCTTTAGTAGAAGAGGAGTCTGTTTCTTTTTCTCCGTGTGTGTATAAATGAAATACATATTTATATATTTATGTAATCCATACATATATATATACATATATGGTTTGGGGGGAAACACAGAAGAAACATTTTCTGAATGAAATAATGTAGTATGAAGTCCTCAAAGAAACAGGCCATAGCTAAAAACCACTGAATTTATGAGAGGGGAAACAAATTCTAAGCTACTTTCAGCAGAGACTGAGAAATAACAGTATGAAGTAAATTTTCTACAGGAATCAATACTTGGGTCTTCTCCCTTTGTGAGACTATGTTTGTCATAACAGATGAAAGAGTGGAAATTTGTCTACATAATACATGATATTTTTCTTTTTTTAAACCATGTACTCTAATTATGAAGATGGAGGTGTCCTTTGACAGATTGTTTAATAAAGACAGTTTAATAACAGTTGAGCTATTCTGTATGCTTCTTAGAAATATTAACATGTTTAAATCAAGATCCCAATATAGATTTTGCTGCTGTGTGATCACTTTTTTATTATATTAGTTTTATCTAGGTTAACAGATAACAGGGTAGTATACTCTACAGTATCACCATGTTATTAAAAAGTATTTCTTCTAAGAAAATAATTACAGAAATCATTTGGGAACAGACTACCTTTTTGCTTTTATATTTTTATTTTTTAAATTTTTTAAATTTTATTATTATACTTTAAGTTTTAAGCTACATGTGCACAACGTGCAGGTTTGTTACATATGTATACATGTGCCATGCTGGTGTGCTGCATCCATTAACTCGTCATTTAGCATTAGGTATATCTCCTAATGCTATCCCTCTCCCCACCCCACAACAGTCCCCAGAGTGTGATGTTCCCCTTCCTGTGTCCATGTGTTCTCATTGTTCAATTCCCACCTATGAGTGAGAACATGCAGTGTTTGGTTTTTTCTCCTTGTGATAGTTTGCTGAGAATGATGGTTTCCAGTTTCATCCATGTCCCTACAAAGGATATTAACTCATCATTTTTTATGGCTGCATAGTATTCCATGGTGTATATGTGCCACATTTTCTTAATCCAGTCTATTGTTGTTGGACATTTAGGTTGGTTCCAAGTCTTTGCTATTGTGAATAGTGCCGCTATAAACATACGTGTGCATGTGTCTTTATAGCAGCATGATTTATAATCCTTTGGGTATATACCCAGTAATGGGATGGCTGGGTCAAATGGTATTTCTAGTTCTAGGTCCCTGAGGAATCACCACACTGACTTCCACAATGGTTGAACTAGTTTACAGTCCCACCAACAGTGTAAAAGTGTTCCTATTTCTCCACATCCTCTCCAGCACCTGTTGTTTCCTGACTTCTTAATGATCGCCATTCTAACTGGTGTGAGATGGTATCTCATTGTGGTTTTGATTTGCATTTCTCTGATGGCCAGTGATGATGAGCATTTTTTTCATGTGTTTTTTGGCTGCATAAATGTCTTCTTTTGAGAAGTGTCTGTTCATATCCTTCGCCCACTTTTTGATGGGGTTGTTTGTTTTTTTTCTTGTAAATTTGTTTGAGTTCATTGTAGATTCTGGATATTAGCCCTTTGTCAGATGAGTAGATTGCAAAAATTTTCTCCCATTCTGTAGGTTGCCTGTCCACTCTGATGGTAGTTTCTTTTGCTGTGCAGGAGCTCTTTAGTTTAATTAGATCCCATTTGTCAATTTTGGCTTTTATTGCCGTTGCTTTTGGTGTTTTAGACATGAAGTTCTTGCCCATGCCTATGTCCTGAATGGTATTGCCTAGGTTTTCTTCTAGGGTTTTTATGGTTTTAAGTCTTAGGTTTAAGTCTTTAATCCATCTTGACTTAATTTTTGTATAAGGTGTAAGGAAGGGATCCAGTTTCAGCTTTCTACATATGGCTATCCAGTTTTCCCAGCACCATTTATTAAATAGGGAATCCTTTCCCAGAGCCCTCAGAAATAATGCCAAATATCTACAACTATCTGATCATTGAGAAACCTGACAAAAAAAAAGCTTTTTGCTTTTTAATAAACTAACTTGAGGAACTCTTGAGGTATTGGCAAGTCAGGAATTGTCCAAGTCAGGAAGTTATAACTTTAATGTTTTTAAAGAAGGACAAACTAAGGAAGCCCCCCAACCCCAAGAGTCTATGAAGTGGGGAGGGAGAGAGCAAGAGAGAGAGAGCTAGAAGGAGAGAGAAAGAGAGAGATTTAGAGAGAGAGAGAGAGAGAGCAAGAAGACTCACTCGAAGAAGGCGCTCAGGATGGACAGTGGCTTGGGACTAAGGAATATGAGTTCAAATGCTGTTTCTGCTGTAAACCAGTGAGGAATGACAACATCCTATCACTTTGGGTTTCAGCATCCTTATCAAGAAAAAGAGATCGTTAATCTTTAAAGTTTCCTCCTCATTTAGAATCTACTTTTGTAAGGTTGTATAAAAATAAGATGTAAGATTTTTTTACTTTGGTCTCTGAGGAAAGAGATAATAAGTTATTGTACGATTAATTACCTTTTTGGGCTTGCTAGTTTTGGGAATTCTTTTGCCAAGATTGCAAAAATTCAAGACTAGTGAAGATCTCTGTGTCCTTAATACATAAAATGGCAGAAGCTCATGAAATTTAATAAGATACTTGTGACTCTGCGGTAGAAGAACTGAAATCGTTTTTAGTTGACCAGCGCATGTGTTTTTCAGACTAGTGAAGATTAAAAAGTATGTTTATTAACTTTTAGGTTATTTCTAGGGAATTTTAAGTGTCAGATTGGCACCATCTATAGATATTAAAGGTGAAGTGCACCTATGATTGTTTCATATTCTGATAATCCCTCCCTCTGTTTTATTTAAGCTCAGTAACTTCATTTTCAGTTAATCAGCAGATATACTCAACTGTTCATTTGAGTCACAGCTAGCATTTGTCTGCTTGGGCTACAAACTATTCAGGAAGATATTATTCTTCCTTTTGTCAATTTATATTCTAGACACATAGTATCTATGCTTTTAGTCTACTTAGAATTTCTACAACTTCTATAAATATTTAAGCTTCAATTTTAATGATGAGTGGTAAAAGCTCCACCAAGGATATTTTAAGAGTTTTACATGAGGAATTGTTTTTTTCTTAGTAAATTTTTGAATTTTTCAATGCTAAAATATTACATGGATATCATGAGGCACAAAATAAAAAATTATTAGTTTAAAAGAGTGACCTTATTAATGTATAGGAAAAGATATATTGTTAAATCTTTGTTTTGTGGGGTTATGTTTCTTAGTAATCTAATTTTTCCAGGTATAATTATTGAATTAATTGTAATGCATAACAAAGAGCATATTTGTCAAAACGTTTTGATGAAAGTGGAAAATGCTGAGTACCGTGGCACACACCTGTGGTCCCAGCTATTCGAGAGGCTGAGGCTGGAGGAACCCCTGAGCCCAGGACTTTGAGGCAGCCTGGGGAACACAGTGAGACCTCATCTCTAAAAGTGAATAGAATAACGACAACTTGCTGTAAATTGAATTTGAGGAAACAAATGGACGACTTTCAGAAACAAAAGCAAAGTTCCTGGACCCATTCTTCTTGCTCTTTTATTTACTAGCCCTTGCTTTTATTATTTTGCCTGGTTTAAATAGTTACTTTGGAAGAAAAGCAATGAATCATATAATAGCTTTATAAATAAATATTTGTTTCTGATACCGTTTTAGGTTCTGTTTGCTAGTAAACCCTCAAATGTTTTGGGTTTTTTCTCCTAAATAGACACTTCAGTATTCATGAACTATGAGAAACTCACATCCATATAAATGGCCTAAATTTTTTTGGATGCTTCCAAAATAACAAAAAATATAGAAAAGCTTTTCATTGATTTCTATAGTAATTATATTATATTAAATACATTGAGCCAGTCAGAAGAAGCCTGGCATCTGAGGCATTCTGATTAACTACATTTTTCTGTTTAGCTGAATTTGTGTCTCCAACTCTTTCTGGCTCCTACTCTCACAAAAAGTAAAACATATTAATTTTTAGTAAGCACTCTATATTAGATGTTGAAGTAGGGATAGATATTTAGACTAAATATATACTAATTCTCAGATGTGTTCCATTTATTTTTATAAATTCATGATCCTAAAATATGAGCTTATTTTGTTAGGCTCTGCTTGTCTTTTCTCGAAGTAACAGGTTCACTATTTTCATTGTTAAAATTTTAAATTAAGTCTTACAGATACTTTCATCAATAATAAAAGTGATTTGCAAGTATACTATCAATTGTTTTGCATTTATAATGGGGATTTTTAAAACATAAAAGGTTTTTGAAAGTGTGTATTCTTTTAAATATGATGTTCTATAATTTTATTTGAACTACTCACTTACCAAGTGGTCTCTTTAAAATGTGAAACCAACTTTAAAACTTTAAAATATTAAATCTTGGAAAATTTACTTATAGGCCTAGTTATAGTAAGTTCTAAGTTCTGTTGAAATTATTACAAATGATAAATTTCAGTATTTTATAAAAATCAGGCCTTACTATTCTGTTCTTAGTAACCTATTTATATAGAATCATGTACATAATATTCCACTTCTTTTGAATTCTGATGGCAAACAAGCCAATAAATTGTCTTTTAAAATATAGTGTCTCTACTCGAATGAGAGATTTCCAGCATTCTTCTAAAAGGCACAGTTCTATTAGCTGAAGTCCACGTAGGTTTCTGTGGAGGTGAGAAGGAAGGCTGGAAGTGAGTTTGACAGGCTTGTGTTTGCAAAGGTCTAGATCAATGCTTTTTGGAACTAGGTAAAGGCTGTCCCCCAGGAGGCAGGTTAAGCACATCAGGATGTGAGCTCTCTTTCCTTTCCTCTTCTCTGCTCTCTGTCATCACACATTATCTACATTTTTTCTTTCTGTACACTCATTTATTGACTAATAATATATTTTGCTGGATAATATGGTATTTTCTGGAAATGGATATCAGGTTCAGACCAACTGGCAATATCCTCTAAAAATCTCCTAGATGGAGATTTCTTATTAGATTGTCCTCATTTAGCACTACTTTTATATATTTGTTTTGCACCAGGAAAAATGAGAAAAATAATTCAATAAGAAAACATTTTATTGAGTCATCTAGTGGAGAATTGGATTTCAAACACTTGTTTTAAATGATAAAACTAACTTTAAAACATTATCATTAAAAAGAGTACTTATAGCTTCACCATAGTAACTATTTGTTTTTGCTTAATCCCTCCAAAATTTATTCATATATTCCTCTGAATTGGCATTATTATCATTATCTTGTATATGCCATTTTGTTGCAATTTTTTGATGAATAACATTTAAAATTAATTAAGACTTTCTGCAATATCAATTTTTTTCACGGTCTAAAAAAGCTGGTACTAACTGATCAATTATTGCATTTAAAATCCTGAGCTAACCTTATCACATTTATTTTCTCATTTGTACAACATAGGTGAGTGATGATTCTTATTATGCCATTAACTGAGGATTGCAATAAGTAAGTAATTCATCTGATATCACATAGGTAGCAAGTGATGGGTTGAGGATTTATAAGCAGATAGTTTAACCTAAGAACTTATGCCTTTAATCAATATGCTTTGCCACTTCTCACAAATAAAAATGCATGCTAAAGTAACAAGGACTGGATAATGTGAAGAAATACAGTACTGCAAAATTTATGTTAGAGATTTAAATCAGTAGTTTTTTTAACCTGATTACGCTCTGTGATTCTGTGATTCTCCCTCCACCCCACTTCAAGCTAAGAAATTGCTTTGGGGATGTGGTTTAGTATTCCAGAGCTCTTAGAAGAAATATTCGTGTCTCTGGGTTTGAGAAAACACCAGAAAAAAGTCAACCAGATTTAGTTCTACATAAGGCCAGGAATCCAGGACAGATATAGGGAATATTTGTGGGTGAATCTTCAAAACATGCTTAAGTCCATCAAGCTAAATAAATCTACCATATGGTAAGCCAGATTTATAAAAGAAACTAGTGAAAACTGTGGGTGTTATGAAAATAGGAAGGGATTTTATTTTAATAGCAAAAATAACCTATAAGAAAAAAACAGAAAATTATTTCAAAACACATCTTTGGAAGACTTCTTTGGCCCTTAGAAAAAAGGCAGCTTTCATTTTGAAAGAAATTATTTCCCAAGTCAAAAATGTTTTTATTTTTTCCTAGAGCTTTTTTTCTCCCAAACTTTTAAACAGAGAGGCAGCTCAGTTTCTAGTATATGGTAATAAATACGTCAAACTAGGGCTATGTAACAAAACAGGTAAGTAAAATAGGATTTATCACCTGGGCATTTCACAAACAGAAAGCAGCCTTAGTTTAAAAAAACAAAAACAAAACTTAGAAAGGGTTCTGAGTACCAATATTTTGACTAAGTTGACTGAAATGGTAGTCTACCTCACCCCAAGCAGAAATCTATAATTAGAAGTGTCTGAGGTTGTATGAAGATCCTAAAACAGTTGCTTTAGAGTGATTGAATCCACAGTCTGAAATAAGAATGTATGTATTTTTTATGCCATTTCCACAAGTGAAATTGTGTACAATAAAGCCTTCCCTTGTGTTTGGGCCCTATAGATCTTTGGTTAATCAAAAGCTTTTTTAAAATCAGGATTACCTTACACACTTTTTTAACTTAAAGCATACACATATGTTTGCATTAGCCAATCCTTAGCTGTAAACTGAAGCCCTTTTCTGTGAGTGTATGTCCACTGTTTGGAGTTCTGCCTCTTCTTTCTTGAATAAGCATACCTGTAATATATCTTTTAAAAATTTCTAGTTTCAGTGTCTTTAATGTGTAGAAAAACCTTCCAGGTACTTGTGAAGCTGAGTGCAGAATCATCATATATTTTCATGATTCCCTCATCTCCCATTATTTTTATAATAGTTTTACTCTCAGTTCAATGGCTTCTTTTTTTGTCTTAGACTTTCTGAAGCCTTTCCAAAGCATTTACCTTAATTTGCATGTGAGTATGAAATGTGAGTATGAAAGAAACAATGACTTTCTTTCATATTCACATTTTTCAATTTAATGAAAAATTTATCAAATTATATAATTATAAAGATAATTCCACAGTAGGATATAGATTTAAGCTAAAATAACATTGGCCTAGAGAAGAAAGAATTTTTATCTCTGTGACAGAAAAATCTGGAGAGAGACATATATATACATATTTCTTTTTTTTTTTTTTGAGAAGGAGTTTCACTCTTGTTGCCCAGGGTGGAATGCAATGGCGGGATTTCAGCTAACAGCAACCTCCGCCTCCTGGGTTCAAGCGATTCTCCTGCCTCAGCCTCCTGAGTAGCTGAGATTACAGGCACTTGCCATCATGCCTGGCTACTTTTTTTGTATTTGAGAAGAGATGGGGTTTCACCATGTTGGTCAGGCTGGTCTTGAACTCCTGACCTCAGGTGATCCACCCACCTCGGTCTCCCAAAGTGATGAGATTACAGGTATGAACCACTGTGCCCGACCCTGGTTAGATATTTTTAGGACTTGTATTTTTAATGATAGCTCAACAATAATTAGGGATAGAACCTACAGCTAACTAGTTGCTCTAGTCATCCAACTAATGTTACAAAATGACTGCTGCCATTCCTGCCATTACATTCATACACCAGCCAGCAGCAAAAGGGGAAAGAGGAAGGAATAATAGGCTCTTCCACTTTAATGGTATGATCCATAATTTGCACACATCACCTCAGAACACTTAGTCACACTGTCATACCTATCTGCAAAGGAAGCTTGGAAATGTAGCCTGTAGCTAGATGACCATGTGCTCACTAAAATGTTTATTGTTATATCAGAAGGGGAGAATAGATATTGAGGAACATTGAGCAGTCTCTGATTTATTCAGATCTATTAAACCAGGCAAATGCTTTAGTAGGTTTTGCTCTGAACTTCTCTGGTTATGCCTCTCTATGTGTGGTGGGGATCCCACAGAGCCAAGGGGTCTTGTCTAACCAGAATCCATGCCCTCCTTTTAACCTGACTCAAAAGTCTAAAACTCCCTGTCTGATCAGCCCTGGGCCTGTATCCAGTGCCTCTTGGGTCCTCTGGATGGTGAGCTACATGTACTTCAGGAGTATGAATAGAGGTTGGGTGAGCAGGATGGGCATTCTCACACATATGTTTGAGGTCCCTTATAGTATCCACAGAGCCGAAGGTGGGAAGAGAATAGAATATATGAACCATGTTTCCCAGCACTGGAAACTTCTGATGGAGAATTCAGAAAAGCTTGAAATGTATAAAATTGAATTTGGCCTTTCAGCTCATTGTAGGTATATTTGCCAACGTAGGAAGATGGTATCATTTATCTGTGGCTATATAGCAAACTACACCAAAACTTTGTGGTTTAAGACATCAATCATTTTATTGTCCCTGTGGAAACTGTTCCTTAAGTTGTAGGCTGAGGCTGGAGGATGGAAGGAGGCTTCATTCATGTGTTTGGAACTTTGATGCTGTCTGCCAATTATGGTGTCTGTGGTCATCTCTACATTGCCTCTCTTTCCATGTGTTTTCTTATCATCAAAGAGTTCACTATGGGTTTTTTTGCATGGCAGTGGGCTTCCATTATGGGTAAAAATAGGAAGTTGCAGGACTTCTTAAAGCCTAGTCACAGAAATCACACTTCTACCATATTCTATTGCCCAAAGTAAGTCATAGAATCAGCCCAGATAAAAAAGAGGGCAAATAAGTTTAACCACTTAATGGGAGGAGTGGCAAAGTTACATTGCAAAAAGCCATGCAAGATGGGAGGGATGGCCATTTGAGAAACCATCTATGACAAACATTTTCCATTTAATAGCTTTTAAAGAAAATCTTGATATTATGCCTCTGTTTGTATTCTTGCCTCAGGCCCTGCAAATATTAAGCATGTGTCTGTTTTTGTTCATCCAAATATCTACTTATTCCTGCACATAAATTCCCTTTTCTATACATAAAACACTCTATCCCTAATGAAGACATCCACCAAATCCCATCCAGTTCCTTCATTCAAGTCCAAGGTCTCTGAGTGATGTTCAGTCCTTTTCAACTAGTCTAAAGGTGACGATTCATTGTGTTCTGCTGACCTATAAACTAAAAGGCCAGTTATACTTCTTCCCTTGCATGTATTATACAATGGTGAATTAGAGTAGGTCCACTTTTCTAGGCATTGTGAAGGATAGAAATTGTTTCTCTTCAAGAAATCTGCTATTCAGTGAATGAAATAAGGGGTACACGCTGTCATTATAATATTGTTTCTCAAACTATACAGTATAATAGAAATTTCCATACAGAACAGGGAAAAGTGGAAAACACATGGAAATTGAGAAGGCAAACTCTCAGGGCAATTGAGTAAATATCTTGGTCAGTCTAGCTGGACGTTCAGGTTTTGTTCCCTGGGAGAATAGCCCTGTTTATGGTTCTCCATGGCCCTGAGCCTTATGTCTTGTTAATTATTTTTTTAGGAAGTGGGTGACGAATCGTGTGCTTTTTGTTTGTTGTCACACAGACTTTGTGGTCTCCTTGTTGCTGGTGCGAGGGATTTGGGGTTTCAGGGATTGCTCTAAGGTTCAAAAAGTCATGGGAATTTCATGGCTAAAAAGACTCCAAGGTCATTTTGCCATCGCTCGATTTCCTAAAAACTCTAGCTCTGATCTATTTGCTTCTGGTTATTGCCATGTAGTGGTAACCACTGCCGAAGATCTAGACATGACTCATAAGCTTGGAAAGTCGAAATTTTTATTAACTGGCCTCTGTGCTCTGTCTGTCCTTCTTGCTTCAACATAAGGGTGGTAAATTTGGGACCATCTGAGAGAGGAGTCATGGGTGGGGTGGCAATAGGCTTAATCTGGTCTTTGCTGCTGAAGCATTCAGCATACTTTGGGCATTAGTCATTGTGCTTTATAAAGGAAGTGAGAGTGTAGTCTAATCTAGAGAGTTGGTTGACTGAAGCTTTGTTACGAAATTTCCTATTACAGAATAAACTGAAAGTAATATAAATGGATTTCAGACTCTTTAACTTCCTATTCTTCTTTATTATTTGGTGAAACTATTAACCTGGAGTGGCTGAGATAAATATATCTGTTATGACTAGTTCCAGATACATGTAGTTTTCTTTCTCAAGCATCTACTTACTTTTGTCTTATTTCATTCTGCATGTAGTAAATTAAAGTTCAGATTTCGGATGCAGGGTTTTAAACAATTGTAATAATGAAGACTTTTTTTGTGTACTTTCAATGCCTTTCCATTGATGCCCCAAAACAGTTTCTCTCTATTTGTGTTACATTTCTGCTCTGTGTCTGTTTTATTATTTAACTTCGCGTTTACTTTCAAGGCTCTTTCCCTTGCATGACTTTTCTAAATCAGCACTGGTCAAGAGATATATAAAGTAATCCACATATAGAATTAATAAGTGTTCTAGTACCTTATTAGAAAGCATAAAAAGAAGTGGGAAATTAATTTTAATATACCTTTTAAAACAACATCAAAATTATTATTTCATGTAACCAATATAAAAATTATTGAGATATTTGATTCAAAATCTGGTGTATATCTTATCCTTAAAACACATGAAGATTTGGATTAGCAATATTTCAAGGACTCAATATATACAGAGTGTAGCTCTTGATCTTTGCACTAACTTGGGATGTAATTAGTAAATATTCATTATCAAATGCTCTTTTCTAGGCATTGTGAAGGATAGCAGTTGTTTCTCTTCAAGAAATCTGCTATTTAGTGAATGAAATGGAGGGTACACTCCAATATAAGTATAATATTGTTTCTCAAACCATACAGTTCTGGAAAACAAGAATTTGGGTCATTCTTGCTAGAAATAAATAAGTCCCTTTCAATTTTTTCTTTCTCTAAACAGGGAGGCAATATAGGGTAATTATGGTTTTTTCATTTGGAAAAATAATAGTAGATTCAGTGAAAAGTCCACGCAGATATTATAGGTACAACTTTCCATCTTTTGTGGAGAGTTTTGATAAGCCTGAGAGGGGCAGTCCAAGCCAGGTCAGTCTTCTGCTATGTATATCTTTGATGTGAAATTATCTTAGGAAAGGCTAAACGTTAGTCTTAGAAAAAAAATCCTCTCATCTATAATGAACTGAAGTAAACACCCTTGGTTTACTTCCCTGCAGTAAAGCACTTACATCTCTGGGGCTACAACCAGGAAGTCAACAGTCCACGTCCTTACTTCAAAAAGTATTTGATACTTATATGAGGGTAAGCAAAATGTCTGCCTCTTGGAAATCAACAAGTCCTCCAGTTTTTGGAGCTACCATTTATTCTAACATTTAAATAAAATGGCTCAAATTTCTTTTTATAAAATAGCACTACCTAGCTTCAATCCACTTCATTCTTTTGAGGGCTAACTTTCCCTAAAACATTTGAAAAAAAATCGAGGTTGCTTGAAGTTTGCTTCTTTACTGTCATCTCCAGCACTCATTGTCATGTCTCCTGCTGAACATCAGGCTTCTGTTTACTTTGTGGCTAGTCCCCCCAACTTTGGAACTTTGCTTCTCTTTCTCCATTCTCCAAAGTACCATTAATATTAATGACTGAAATTCTGGGCAAAACACATTTCTGTTGACAACTCACAAAAAATAGAACTTCCTTACAGCGAGAAAACAATTATCTGCCCTTCCTAAAACCATGTTCCTGAGAGTCATATCTCTCTAGACCAGAGTTGTTTAACAAAACTTTCCGCACTGTTCAATACAGTAGCCACTGGACACATGTGGCTATTGAGCACTTCACATGTGGTTAGCGAGGCTGAGGAACTAAATTTTAAATTTTATTTGAATGTAAATTTAGTCACGTGACTAGTGGCTATCATGTTGGAAAGCAAAGGTCTGTCCAACTGTCTGTGAAGATTGATTCCCTTTCTTTTTCCAGGGTTCTCACCCCATTTGCCAACTAACATTTTGTAGTTATTAGTAAATAATTAAAAAATTCCTGTTACTCTATTTCGCAAGAGAGATTTCAGTCAATTTCCCACACTAGGATTTATCTATCTAGATTATCATGGGAGCCCCCATTATCTTGTAAAATAAAAAAGTCTCTTGTGGCCCATCAAGATAATTTCCTAGAAACAAAGGACCATTTATCTCGGTAAATGCTTATACCAAGGATGACTTAAGTAGTTGCAAACCATATTATATTTTCAAAATCAATATTTTCATTAGGTTACACCTTTCCTTCAGCAAAATATTTTCTGTAGCTGGAAAAGAAAGTTGCCCATAAACTCTTTCCACAGGTCATGTTCTGGAAAAGATAAAAACATATCATCTAATATCTTATGGACACTCTTTCAGGCTACTCAATCCCTATGACATGCAAATCTAGTATGAGAAACTGTTTCAGGCGGAGCTCTCCAAAACTGGAAGAAATCACTTAAAAATTTGCGTAATTGGGGAATGAGAATGAACAGCTGTCTCTGAAGCATGAGGAAATGGGTGTGGTGAGAGTATCAACATTATTCTCTATCCTGAGGCTTCAGTCTCTGATTTATAGTCTTGAAAGACAGTGCTCATTGCCAAGGTTTTGTCTC
Source organism: Homo sapiens (assembly GCF_000001405.40). Classification (NCBI taxonomy): domain Eukaryota; kingdom Metazoa; phylum Chordata; class Mammalia; order Primates; family Hominidae; genus Homo; species Homo sapiens. The sequence goes on along the minus strand of NC_000005.10, from coordinate 86,977,275 downwards.
TTTGAGAATGGTATGCTCCTGTTTCCATTAAAATAATATTTCTTCCCATTCCTGTTCCCTACGATGGGATCCAGAGAACAGTAAGTTGACCCTGTATCAACTCCCCTTTAAAGTCATGTACTGCCTGTGCTTGGCATGATACTCCACCTAGAAATTTGCCTGTTTCCCTAGCCCCTCTATAAAAGGAAAGAGAACTCTATAGTCAACCAAGCATATTTGCTCATAGGATCTAGAAAGCCCCATTCCTCTTGAAATTTTCTGCAATCTCACTTGTCGCCAGAACATTTCCAGAAAAGCCTTACTTTCCATATCATTGAGGATGGCTTTTTGGTGTGCTTAGTGCTTTAAAAGTTCCCATTCTCACAATCCTAGCTAAGGGGTGGCATTTCCATTTCATGGAATCATGGGTCATGACCCTGGAAATAACTACCATCCTGAGCTTTGCAATGCCTCTATGATAGCATTGCACTCCAATTCTTAGACAATAGTTAGAATTGCTTAGTTTCAGATAGCATTGATCTCCGCAATCATATGCCTTTCTTTAATTTGCTTCATATAGACAGAATGCAGTTTTTGACAAACTGGGTCAAATATATCCTATTTATGTTTATCTGTTCCAAATTGGTAGTAGAATGGTGATATTTATGGTCACTGGCCTACAGTCCTCTAACTAGAAGGAAAAATACTGCCTGCTCCTACTCCCTGAAGCCTTGAATAATAAAATCCTGAAACCAAATTTTGCTGACAACAACTTCTACTGCCCAGGTTTGAGCTGGTACTTCCTATACTAACTAGTTTTGTTACATTGAAGTGTTTTCTATTGGTTTCCAATTCTACCTTTCTTCTTCCTTATGAATTATTCTCATAATTGAGAGACCCTGTTTACTCTGAGATATCACAAATAACATTTTTACTATAAATAAATGTACTATTTATTTTTTCCAATTAAACCCAGTTTATTCTGGTTTAACAAGTACTGCTTTTTGAAATAACATCCCTAACTTAAATTGATTAATGTATTTTTGCCATAACAATTTATTGAGCATATAGTATGTGATGACATAGTTCTAGATGCTGGCTATATAGCAATGAGAAAAACCCACACAAATCCCTGCTCTTATGGAGTTTGTATTCTAGTTAAATAAGAAAGAAAATAAACAAACACATAAAATATGTAGTATGTCAGATGTTACAAGTTCAGTAAGAAAAGTGAACATGAGAAGGGGGATACTTGGGAGAATTGGTGGGGATAGTTACTATTTTAAATTAGATAGGCAGGGAGGAACTCACTTATAAGTTAACATTTAACCATAGACTTAAAGGAGACAAGGGAGTGAGCCATGTAGGGATCTAGGGAAGAGTGCTGCAGAAAGAAGGAAATAGCAACTGCAAAGCCCTGACACGTACAAGAGATAACAAGATGGTCAGTGTATCTGGAACCAAGCTAAGAGGGAGAGCCATAGAAACTGAAGCCAGTGAGGGTATGGAGCATGAGACTACACTGCCTTGTAGATACATGTGCTTTGCCTTTAATTCTGAATGAGACCAGACATCATAGGTAAGTATGGGACAGAAGAATGATTCATATAAACAAATATTTTTTTCTTTCTTCTTTGTCATGAATGCTTAAAAATTAAACATCAGAATTGTGACCACTCTAGAAATTTGTCAAGACTAGCTCCGGTGTAGTATGCACATGTGGACATAGAACAAACAGCCATATAGTCAAGGAATTTCCTAACTTCCTTATATCCATAAATTGCCATGGATATTTATGGATATTATGTTTGGGATACAATTTGCAAAATTTCAGGTGAGTCACCGGTTTCAGGCAAGGAAATGGAAGTATGGTGGAATCGCCACTGAAAGATCTTACAAGCTCACATAAATGGGCAGAAAAGAAGCAGAGACACTTAAATCTTGACATACTAGAAAACATCCTTGGGGAAAAATAGTCTAAACCACATTTAGAGGATGATGAACCTGGGGGAAAAATTCTCCAAGTATGTAAGAATGACATCTGTGCTTTCAACCATTTTTCAGATGTGAGTGTTAATGGTATATAATTAACTACAATTAATTGAGCTAAAGTTTGGCCACACATCCTGTTTCTGTTACCACACCCAGTACAACCTCCACACATCTGTGGGCCATCATTATGATCACCCTTTTCCAGGAATATTAAGCAATTTGTTAGAGAACAGACATCTGGAAATAAACCTACGTTAGCTTGAGCATGGCCTTTTAGTTCTATAAACCATACTTGTCTTTCTCCAGAAATAATGATGCTAGTCCAATTCCTGTGTCTTTTGAAGGAAAACAACATTGGGAATAGGAACTTCAAGTTTCAAACACAACACTAAATTCACTGTGAATTTGTAGTGAATAAGGACTACTTTTTAAGATACATTATTCTAGAGTAGCAATTAAATTTTAACACATATTTACAATAAAATAAAAGAGACATAACACTAGTTTTCAGCTCTTTACAAAGAGAGCAGTGAAGCTTTAAATCTTTTAGAAATGAAATTTAAATATACATAATACGTGTTTATTGAATTAATTTAACCATAATCCTACCACCTAAAATCACTCATTATTTTGATGTATTTTCTTTTTGTTCAATCTTTTTTGACTTTTGTTTTTGACAATATGGAAAACATCATATTTATAATTTATATATGCACATTTTACTTTACCATTTTACTTAACATGATGTCAAAGCATTCTCCTTGTTGTTTTATAAACTCATGAAAATATTATTTTAGAGTGACATTTCTAAAATATGATATGATCATAAGCTTCACTAAAATTCTTTACTATCGCCCTATCTCCTTAAGTATAAAGTTCCAAAATCACTGATGAAGGATATTAGGACAGTTATGATCTGTCCCTTTCTGACTCTGTAGTTTTTGCCTTTTCTCTAATTTCCCAATCACACTTTTACCTCTAGCAATTAGGAATGCCTTTTTTGTTTTTGAGTCAATGACATTTTCTCATTTTTGGCATAATTTCATTATTATTTATGATCTTACTGTTATTACTTGGTATAACAATTCCTACTCATTTTTAAATACTGAAGTTTAGAATCTGCTGTTCTGGGCAGCCAGTCTTGACACCCTTAACCCAAACCTCACCAGTTGCTGATTTGGTTCTCCCTCCTCTGAGCCCCACAACTCCACCGAATTATAAGAAAACCTGGTTTCCTCCTCTAGATCAGGAGCTATGTAAGGGCAGAAGTCTTGTCTTTTTCATATTTGTATGAATGATTCTTAGCATAGTTCCTGGCACATAATGGAAATTAATATATATAAAATGAATTACTAAGTGACTATAAATTAATTCTCTTCTTTTCTCTGTCTTCCATTACTGAGGGCTTGTCTTTCCCAATATAAAGACCTTGTCTTCCAAATTCTAAACTGTTCTTATCCACTGCCAATAGTATCCAAGTTAATGTTTTTATTGATTCATTCACTTTGGTCACTTTGGGTCTTAAAACTTAGAGTTCTTTGTCTGTACTTTGGAGGGTAAATTGTGCTAATGAAGTTATGAAAAAATATCACTAAAATAAAATTGAAATTTAAAAAGGACAAAAAGCTATTGAGAATAACTATAAATCTGCAAATTTTAAGTACTGGTATTGAATTTCACATCTGACAAATATTCAAACATGAATGATGGTATCCATTTCTAATGTCACTACAGTTATAAACTGGGTGGTAGATGTACAGGTTCCCCATGTTTGTTTCTATAATACAAACTGAAGATTGCTGGGGCTACCTCTTAGGAACACAGTAATTATCCTACTCTGAAACATCCTCTTCATTGTAACTTTTCTCTTGGTGGTAATGAATCAAGAGAGAATAGATTTTATATGGATGTGTATTTTGTTTCAGATTCATGAGCTTGGGCAAGTTATTTAACCTAAGATTCAACTCCATCATCTGTAAAAGGGACAGATTAATAAAGTCTAATTCATGAGACTTTGAGGATTAAATATGTAACTTCATTAAAAAACTGTATAGTGTCAGGCTTATAGTGATACGTATTTTGTGACTTTGGGTCTAGATGCCTGAGCAGCTGTTTGAGTGGAATCTTTACCTGTTATGCTCCTTCTCCTTGTCATCTAAAGGAATCTATTCTCTTTTTTGTTCCAATTTTCTTCTAATCCCTATTCTCCAAAATGCATAAACTGGGCTAATTCAGCAATCTGTTTCATGATTCAAACTAAAAATTTTCTCTTTCCCTGCAAGTCAAGAAGTCTGCTTATTCTTAAAATTATCGCCAACTCCATTAGTCTGTATTGAAGGTTAGAGAGGGGTTTTGCTTATTCTTGAACAGTTAAGTACTTAGTTACCTATCCACACATAAATTGTGTGGGATTGCTACTTATATACTCACCAACACTATCACCTGACATTTGAATATTGCCAATTAACCTATAAATACTTTTTCATGAAATTCAATCTCCTTTTGTAACACAGACTATATGTTTCAAAAGATTTCAGAATAATTCTTTACATTTGAATTCTTCCATATATTTTGATTTTCATTGAAGTAGTCTTAAATTTACTGAAAAAATAAGTATTTTATAAGACATTTTAACAGTTACAATGTGTAAATTACTGTATTAATGTTCCTAGAAACATGCAAACATAAATAAATAATGATTTTTTTCTCCTCAAATTTCTTACAGCCTAATGAGGAAAAAGACACACGTGAACATGTAACTATAATTTCATTTTAATCTAAGATTTCTAAGTAAAAAGATAACCAATAAGAATAGAATTTTATGTCAAGTTTTACATTTTAAAGGTCAGAATGATAAAACACTTTATTTTGAAATGTAAACAGCTTCAAATTATCAAAATAAATCTTTCTATGAAGTTGTAGAAGGGTATGGTGAGCTGCTATTTCTAAGAATTATTGGTTTTTTTTTGTAATTCTATTAAATTTATAGAGTTGAGTTTTGTGAAGTCTTCTTTTTTTGAAAGTTTGTTTATCTGGGTGGCAGAACATGCTAGCATTGTGGCTAATTTACAGCCTCCTGCAGCTTTTAATTTTAAATCTGTTTGATACACTGGTTTTGTAGAATAGTTTATAGATTTGGTTATATAAACAGTCATTTTTACTCTTTCTTTCCATTTTAAAATTACCATGTGGAAATTCCTTCAAGTTTAAGAAATAGATTATTGTGCACTAAAACTTAGAGTTGGATTTAAATTGGCCTTTTTTTCAATAAAGTAAACCAATCCCTTCGCATGGTGTGTTATTATTACCTTCACTGTGGTTATGCTTCCTGGCCAAAGAGACACAGAGATTATTTTGAGAACATATCCCCCAAATATACAAAAATACCACACTTAAAATTTCTAATCAAATACACCAACATTATGGATCTCAGAAAACACCTATGTCCAGCAAGAATTCTCTCTAGTCTCATTGCCCACTCACTTGGCCACAAGAGCAAGGACTCTGCAGTGGTAGGAAAGATGGAGTTTCTGGACTGAGAACTGGATGCCAGCAGGAGAGGTGAGATGGTCATTGGCATATTGGGGAATGTAGGGCTGGTTGATCGGGGCACATGAGAAAGTTCCTATCCTCTCTCCTGACCTCCTTTAGTGTTTCTCTTCCTCTACTCCATTGAAGACTCAAGAACTCTGTTTCTGGAGCAAATTAAAACTCCTTCCCTTCTCTCAGTACCACAGAAGACACAATGGTGTCAAAATGAGAACAGGAAGAAAATGAAGAAGAAGCATTAGAATTGTGAACATTGGTACAGTTTCATTTTGAGAAATCTCGTAATAAAAGGTATTCTTGAGAGTCAATGAAAACTAAATAGAGCCAGGCTCTGGCATTTGCTTACACTTTCACGCCTGTTGTTCTCTTGCACAATTTTAGTCACATGACTAAAATTCTTTCTTTCTTTCTTCTCTGAGGACATCTAGAGTCTGCATTTGAGATTCCAATAATAAGGTAAAATTTATTTGCTGTACATGGATCCAATCAAATCTCTGCACTCCTTCTTTTATTCTTATCCCTCTCACAAGGACATACCTGAAATACGTTTCATAGTCCATGGCCGACTGTCAGAAGAGTGGTTGAGCATGGTTTTGAAGCAACAAATCTGCCCCCTACTGATAGTAGGCAACCTTTCATAAATCTCAGTGTCCTTATCAGTAAACAGAGATGATGATAGTGCACTGCCTCCTAAAGTCACTGTGAAAATAAAGTATGGATTGGGCACGGTGGCTCACGCCTGTAATCCTAGCACTTTGGGAGGCCGAGGTGGGTGGATCACTTGAGGTCAGGAGTTTGAGACCAGCTTAATCAACATGGTGAAACCACATCTCTACTAAATACAAAAAATTAGCTGAGCATGGTGGCGCATGCCTGTAATCTCAGCTACTTGGGAGGCTGAGGCAGGAGAATAGCTTGAACCTGGGAGGTAGAGGTTGCAGTGAGCCAAGATTGCTCCATTGCACTCCAGCGTGGGCAACAAGAGTGAAAACTCCGTCTCTAAATAAATAAATAAAATAAAGTGTGGCAAGGTATGAGAAGAGCTGAGCACAGAGCCCAGCATAAGAGAAGCGCTTAATACATACATTACTATATTGTTTTTACTAAGTCCCCTTCTTTTCTTTTTTCCATGTTTTTCCTTTCATCTTCCCCTTTCTTCACCACTATTGATGTTGTAATCACCACAGCTTTGTCGGTGGCAGTGCAAGGCACTGAAGTGAGAAGCTGTATATGGAATACATGAGGCGGCTGGGTCTGTGACCATTACCTCCATTCACTGAGATCAGACTGCCTTGTGTATCTAAATAAACAGCCATTGGAAAAGGATTGGTAAGATACACTTGCCACCATATTTTTCCATTATAAGCTTTTGATCAACTTCCATTCCAAGTGGACAATTTACCAGAGTGGTTTGTAGTTATGAAGATGAGAGAATTCTTCAACTCATTTTCTTATATGAAACTCTCTGACTATGGGTTGAATTTGTTTAAGGGAACTTACCTGAGCTTGACAACTAATCACATGTACATTTTTATTTTAAATATTTCATTAAGTGCCTTACATGATGGAGTCTCCTATTTTAAGGTGCTTTAGAGTAGCTGTCTCTTTTGAGAAAGGAAAAGAAATATTTAAAATTAAAATTTTAAAATTTACATGAACTGATGAGTTATAACTCAGAATTAAATGCTAATTTGGATAGAGCAAGAAGAATTAAGTACATTTATAATTTTATTGTATAATTAATTCATCCTTTCTAATAAAATCAGCACAATATAGGAAGAGGTTAGAAAAATACAAAAAAGACCTATTATTAACAACAAATCTGGTGTGCATTTTGCATATTTTTTTCTGGCCTTTGCACATATATTTTTAAAAAATATGACTGTGGCCGGGTGAGGTGGCTCATGCTTGTAATCCCAGCACTTTAGGAGGCCAAGGCAGGAGAATTGCTTGAGTCTGGGAGATCAAGGCTACAATAAGCCATGATCAAATCACTGCATGCACACCAGCCTAGTGACACTGAGACCGTATCTCAAAAAAAAAAAAAAAAAAAAAAGATTGTATTGATGTTTTTTTAAAAATTTTGCTCTTTTCATTTAATACCAATTTTTGCTTAAACACAATATTCTTAATGATTGCTTAACATTCCATTGCATGAATGTACAATAATTTATCCACTTCTGCTAGTAGAGGCATTTATCTCCTTGTCAGTTGGACATTTACTTTGTTTCCAGTCTTACAGTGTTATAAATAAGTGATATTGAATATCCTTATACCTAAATATTTATCTTTATTTGGGGGAGTGCTTTAATGGAAAGAATAATGATGCCAATGGTTTCAAATGGAACTTTTATAGTATTCTTTAATTTTAATTTTTGAATTCAGCAGAAAAGCATGAGTTTTGAAATAAAGCTGAGAAGGATCTGCTTAAAAAGAGGTGGCTGGTAAAATAGCTGTAACTTCAGCATAACTTTGACAAAAATTGAACCAAAGATTTAGCTGAGGAGGAAAAAGAAAGGAAAGATATGGTATAGAAAGGACAATATTATAATTTGAAATAAGGAAAGACAAAGAATCAGGTTGTCTGTAAGATTCTAAATAGGATTTCAAAAGTAATAATGCTACAGACTTTTATAAAAAGAAAAGATGAGAAATTTTGTTTATGTATTATGTTTTAAGAAATTATTTGACATTCAGTTACATATATTTGCATGAGTGATACTGAATTTTAGAATGGATTAAGAAGAAAACTAAATTAAAACCCATCATTATATAGATGGTAGTAGAAATAGTGAGACTGACAAAGACTGATTCATTTAACACACATCCATACAGCATTCATTATACAGAAAATGATGTGCTAGGTGTTCAAAGGAGTAGGAAAATGAAACTTCAGGGGCAAATGATGAGGTGGTGGGTAAATAGAAATAGCTGCACCAGAAAAACGAGTTTATTTAAACTATATTTGAACATATTTTAGTTTTAGTCATGGCTATAAAGTAAAACATGTAAGAATGGGAAATCAAATATTGCCAGCCATCTCTTGTAATAATTAAGAAAGGAGAATAACCATGAGGTGGTGCTATTCAACAAGAAATCAGAAATCACAGCTTAAGAATTTTGATGTTTATTTTGGCTTACTAATTCTCTAGAAAGGCACACTGAAATTGTTAAATCTTCAGGAAACAAACACTGGGAATTTAAAGGGACAAATTACTAACTGCTCCATCTAACTCATTTCCTTAGGCCATTTAAATTTTTGGAAATATTGCAAATAAACGAATCTGTGGTTTTCTGGAATTGGAACAAGAGCAAAGCTCAAAGATACTCAGACAGAATACTTCCTGCCTTGGATAAGCGCCTGCCGTGGGGCCATGGGCAGGTTGAAAGGCAGCCCACGAGGAACAAGAGAACAAAGGCCCTTCTATTTTCATGAGTTTACATTTGTCAGTTTCTCCAGTGGGTGAGACACCTCCATGTGTTTGGCAGAGAGTGGTTTTGGACTGAACCATATGGAATCTTTCCTGAGACAGGCATTGGTTGATTTACATTAATATAAAAGCAAGTGATTTTAAAAAAATATAAAATGGGGCAGTGACACTGAAAAAAAGAATAGTTTCACTTTAGTAACTGACAATACTTTTTTTTTTTTTAAAAAAGAGCCATTTTGAAATAAGCACCAAATGTGCTGTGTATTTTCGTAAACTGTAGCTTATAAATTAGATTAACTATGTATTTCATAAGACTTATATAAGGCTGAATATGGTCTAAACTAGTATTTAAATTATACCCTTCCCCTCCTAGACAATTCTTATGGTTTCATAAATATTACATATGGCCTCTAGAATTAAACCAACTTGGTTTACATTTGAAAATGGGGGTTAGGGAGAGAAGGCCCCATAATAAAGTTTTTCAACTCAGTAAAAAAGTTTACAATGTCAGTTGGAATTTTCAAAACATTTGGGAAATACCCAACAGGAAGATAGAAGCCAAGAAAATCACTTGGAAATAAAGAAAGACATATAGAGGTAAAAATAAGTCAAATTAAGAAAAATGGAAGTGCTTTAGGCTTGCTGAATGTTTGGGTGAAGAGTTCTGTGAAGTTTAGTGGCTCTTTTGAATTTAAGAGGGATGTTCCTATTTTGGTATAATGGGAAAACATAGTTTCCTCAGTAGCTGGCACATCTATCTCCCCTCAACCCGTAAACCGTCAAACCTGTCTTGACTGCTCCGAACTGCTGGGTTTGTCTCGTGCGGATGGAATCTCAATCTTTCTTACCTACACCTCAGAAAGGAAGCACTTACAAGGTGAGGCTAAATCTGAAAAGTAGACAAGGGGATCAAGAGAGAGGAAAAATAAAAAATAGGGAGTTAGGATCAAAGGAAGATTTTGCCCCTCTCTGGTCCCTGATCAGGGAACAGAAAGCAGAACTTCCCAGAGACAGAGCATTTTCTTGATTCTGGCACTTTTTCAAGCCGTAAGCTCTATCGTGCTCTTTCCTTCACTGCTAACTGCCAGTGATGTACCATTTTCCCTTTACAGTTTTTTTTTTCTTCCAGCTTTTGTACTCTGGTTTCCCAATTCAATATGCTGCAATAAGGTCATCAGATTTTTCCAAATTATCCAGTCAAGTGGTAATTTTTTTCAGTCATCTTATTTGTTATCTGGTTCAATCATTCATTGAAATTTGACTTCCTTTGAGTTCTATGAGAAGCTCTCTCCTGTCTCTCTTCCTGACTACCTGAATATTCTCTGTTTCCTCCTCAACTCTTGCTACTTGAATGTCGACTTTTCTGGATTTCAATTTCAGCCTTTTCCCCCTCCAGTTCTACCTACTTTTACAGGATGAGCTACTTATCCTGGGCTCATCTTCTAATTCTTCGTTGATAAATCTGAAATCCATGCCTCAAATCACAAGTCTTTCCCAGAGTTGCAGATATCAATATCTAATTTCCTAGATGTTTTATGAACATCTTCATAAAAATATCTGCAGGCACTTCAAACTCAGAAAGTCCCATACTGATATCTGGCCTTTCCTGCCGAATCTTCCATCTCTTTTTGATTTTATTAATAAAGAGAGCTTTACAACTTCCCTAGCTAGAAACCTTGGATTCATCCATGAGTCTTCTCTCTCTTATATCCTCCAACTCATATCCATCAGAAGTCTTTGGAATTACATGTTTAAATATATTATACATTTGTGCCTTATTTATCTTTGTCCATATTTTATTTTATTGCTTTCCTGAACCATTGCAATAGCTTCATAACTTGATTCTTTTCTAGTCCCCATTTGGTCCTTCATACAAACTAGTACCAGACCTAACCTTCCAGAAGACAAATCAGATCACAAGTCACACTTGCATTCTTATAAACATTCTATGGTTTCCCATGATCCATTGATTAAAATCCAAATTTTCTCACATCACACTTAAGATTATTCATAGTCGGGCCTTAACATACCTTGTGTCTTATGTCTCCTCCCATACATGTAAGCCACCCCAAATGACTCTTCATCATGCAAATTCTAATATCTCTGCCTCAAAGATCTCTTTCCCCGTTTTCCACATTATGTTGATCAAGACTCAGATCAAATATCAATTCCTCCATGACACATATTTTTCTAGTGCCTAATAAGAATTCTGTGTTTGTTATTTTTCTAAAACTGTAAGCCTGAGACTTATAAAGGATTTTAAGTAATTAATTAAATCACTCATTTATTTTGTATCAACATTTATGAGTAATTAATTTGTGTCAGCTACCAAGGTGGGCCATAGGAAGAAAAAAGTGGAGACTCAATCTCTGCCCTTGAAGAACTTACAGTGTATTAGGTAATGAAGAATAATAAATGCATTTTTATGATGCAATTGTCCACCTCAACACAATTTGTCCACTCTTTTACCTCCATGAATGACTGAAACATTATTTCCTTTTTGGTGACAAAGGTCAATTGTGTGCACACAGAACAGATCTCTTCTCTTAGGCCTCAAGTACATGTCTAAGACTCAGCCAACTCCTAGTATGTTTCTTCTTCTTTTTTTTTTTTTTTTCTTTTTTACAGCATAAGCAGGGCTTGCAGGACTAAATTTGTTTTCCTCTCTCCTCTAAAACTGCCATACCATCATTTGGTTTACTTGGGCTTGACTTTTTTAATTTTTTTTTAAATAAAGATTTTTGTGGGTACATAGTAGGTGCATATATTTATGGGTTACATGAGATGTTTTAATATAGGCATGCAATGTGAAGTAAGCACATTATGGGGAATGGGGTATCTGTCCCCTCAACATTTATCCTTTGAGTTATAAACAATCCAATTACACTTTTAAGTTATTTTAACATGCAAAATTAAGTTATTATTGACTATAGTCACCCTATTGTGCTATCAAATAGTAGGTCTTAATCATTCTTTTTTTTTTTTTTTGTACCCTTGCCTTGTTTCTTGTAAACACAAGGAAGCAGGTGCTTTCATTAGGTGAGTTTTACTATTATATGATCACAACTGGGAAACAGACAATGGAGAATAAAAATAATACTCAGGGACTATACCAAGTTTAACAGGATCTTCCAAAATTAGTGTTTGGCATACTGTTGACAAAGTAACTGGGTGTCCCATTGGTTTTCTGCTTTGTGCTTTTATTCCAAAAAGTAAACTCACCACACTTCCTCTTTCTTTCTAATTCTCACTAAAGGGCTTGCTTACCCCATTCTCACTGGAGGTCTCTTTCCGAGAAAGGAGGCTGGGAAGATCTACCAGAATAGCATAAAGAGAGCTAAGTTAATCATCAACTTAGGTGCCCCTTCAAATTAAGGAGGTGATTCACACCTCTGTCTGTCTTTAGACACAAAGATATCTGAGTCTCTGTGTCCCCTGCCTCACACAAGATGGTTCTTCTTTTGTCTCTACCTTACAGAAACTTATTCTAGTGGTTCAGTTTACACTTTTTCTACCCTAACTTTCTCTCGTATTCTCCCTGGGAACTAACAGTAACCACCTTCCCTCCCCTCTTCCCTTCTTTCATCCTTTTTTTTTTTTTAAAAAAACTGCTTTATTGAAGTATAATTGATGCACAGAAACGGCACACCAAACTTGCTGAAGATGGACATATAGAAACACTTATGAAACAATCACCACAACCAAGGTAACAGACATATCCATCGCCTCCAAAAGTTTCCATGTGCCTCATTTTTGTTCTTATTGTAACAATGGGATCTACCTTCTTAATTTTTATTTTTTTCCTGAGACAGAGTCTCACTCTGTTGCCAGGCTGGAGTGCAGTGGTGCGATCTCAGCTCACTGCAACCTCCGACTCCCTGGTTCAAGCGATTCTCCTGCCTCAGCCTCCCGTGTAGCTGGGATTACAGGCATGCGCCACCACGCCCAGCTAATTTTTCTACTTTTAGTAGAGACGGGGTTTCACCATGTTGGCCAGGATGGTCTCGATCTCCTGACCTCGTGATTCGCTTGCCTCAGCCTTCCAAAGTGCTGGGATTACAGGCATGAGCCACCGTGCCTGGCCCACTCTCTCAACTTTTTAAGTGCACAATACAGTATTGTTCTCTCTGCATAGTATGTTGTGCAACATATCTCTATAAATTATTAATCTTGCATAATTGAAACTTTATATACATTGAACAGCAACTTACCCTTTCCCTCTACTCCCAGGTCCTTGAAACTACAATTCTATTCTCTGCCTCTATGGGTTTGAGTATATTAGATACCTCATATAAGTGGAATCATGAACTATTTGTCATTCTGTGACTGGTTTATTTTATTTCTCATAATGTCCTAAAGGTTTATCCATATTGTTTCAAATGGTAGAATTTCTTTTTTTAAAGGCTGAATAATATTCCATTTTATGAATATACCATATTTTCTTTATTTATCTATTGATGTTAGACATTTGGGTTGTTTCCATATTTTTGTTATTGTGAATAGTGCTGCATTGAACATGGGGTGCAGTTGTTGCTCCAAGATCCTGATTTCAATTCCTTCGGATATATCCCAGAAGTTGAATTGCTGTATAATATGGTAGTTCTAATTTTAATGTTCTGAGGAATCTTCATATTTTTTTGATACAGCTGCACCATTTTTTATTCCTGCCAAGTAGTGTACAAGCGTTCCTATTTCTTCACATCCTTGCCAACATATCATCTTGGATGTGCTCAATCTTCTCTGATTTTGGAAGCTTCTACAGTTTGAATGTATATGTCCCTCCAAAAATCATATATTGTAACTTAAACCTCAAGATGATGGTATTAAGAGGCAGGGCCCTTGGGAGGTAGTTAGGCCACTAGGACTCTGCTGTCATGGGTGGGATTATAAAAGAAATTGAGGGTGCAAGTTTGTTTCTTTTTGCTCTTCTGCCATGTGAGGACACAGCTACCACGTAAGGATGCAGCAATGAGGTGCCCTCTTGGAAGCAGAGAGAAAGCCCTTACAGACATGGAATCTGAAAGTTCCTTGACCTTGGACTTCCCAGGCCCCAGAAGTATGAGAAATAAATTTCTATTAATTATAAATCATCCAGTCTAAGGTATTCTGTTACAGCAGCACAAGCAGACTAAGACAGAAACTAAGAAGGGTATGACCTGGTTAGTGCTTAGATAAGAGCAGGCATTTTATTTTATTGGTACACTATTTCTTCGCATGTCTGAAAGTTTGTTGAAAAATGGTCAAATACTTTAAGGCCAAGGAAGCACAAGACTTGCTAAACAGTAAAGTCTAGGAGAAAAGTATTTTTTTTGTTTCCTTGTAATATTTTGCTGTCTGACTTGTAACTCATGCCTAGAATAATGCCTGGTAAGTATAAGCAAATATTTTTAAAAGAATAAGGACATTATGTTTTAGTGTGCTTAGCTGTGATAATTTTAAATTAATTGAATGAAAAATGTATTTTAAAATATTTTAAAATAAAAAATCTCATGAATAATATTGAGTGATAATAGAACTCATATTTTTGACTTTCCTAGATGCAGTTAAAGAAAATCATTTCTACTACAACTTCGGTTTTTTAAATACAGATAATATAATCAAAATAATTTCTTCTATGTTGTCAGTGGTGGTTATTTTGTAACAATGCTGTACCAAATTACATATTGTTCATAATTATTGTTTTTATAAGAAAACCTCATCTAGTGAGCTGGTGGGTAGAAGTTAATATTTTTAATCAACGGAGATTAAACTAGTGTAGTTGTTTTTGAGTACTTAAAGATAGTCATCCTAAGTCAGTGCTTGTGCTTAGTTATTGTAAGTTCTATGTTCTTATAAAAACAAAAACAAAATCATAACAACAGCATAAATGCAACACCACCAATTTACTCTTGTTTCCTATTTTTTAGGAAACATTCTCAAACACTAATTATAAGAATCAAGTGAAATCCTTAGTTAAGGCTTCGGTAGGGCTCAAGAATCTGGTTTGGGTGGGTGGTCTATAGTTAGAGTGTCTTATTTTTAGGGTAAGACTTGCCACATTTGTAATGGGACTATAATATAGTCATTATCTTTAAAAATGAGTATATATTTAAATTTTAAATTCTTATTATCTAGTTCTTATATGTGATTGAATATATTATTATACTTAACATTCAGTTATTTAATTTAATTAATTCCCTTTTAGCATATGTTTTCATTTAGAATATGAGCTCTGTATCCAGGCTGTGTGGATTCAAATTTTCATTCTACATTATGTAGCTTTGTGACTCTAGCAACATTTCTTAGCCTCTCTGGGTCATAATTTACCAATTTGTAAAATGGAAATAGTAATAGCTCCTTACTTGATAAGATTAATGCCAAGATTAAATGAACTTTTGGGATATAGTAAACATCAAAATGTTAGCTATGATTATTTTGATTGCTTCATGGATTTATTATATGAATTTAAATAATTTTCTATTTTTATTTTTTATTGTATATACAAATCATAGTGTGTATATGTTAAAGTTTGTCCATTACATTCCCAATGTACGCCCGTTGTCCAGGAGTTCTCTTTGGTTTAGCATTTGTCCTGGGCAAAATGTGTCAAGGTTTGGATGATAAATTGTATGGTCACCGTAAATGTGTATATGAAATAATATATTTTGAGAGCACAAAACTCTTAACTAAATAAATATCAACCAATTACACATAATGGCTACTTTTTTTTTTCTGTGAGCAGTGCTTTCTTTTTTCCCTTTAGACATGAGAAGTTCTGTGGGTATAGTTTCTTGTGCACTATCTGCTAATCTGACCCCTATTAACTGTTTTCATTTCCAGTAGTATCTGAACTAAGCTAAACATCTCAGAAGGGACTTTACCAGTGAAGTGGATGTGCTTGCCAGTTACTAAGCCCTGATGCCCTTGAACTCACTCAAGTTTAGGTTTATGAATCAAATTTAATGATATTACCTGTTGTATCAATGGAATTTGTGACATCTCTCACTTAGAGCCAATTCTGCTAAACAAGTTCCAAGAATTCTATCTGAATTAATTTCAAAAAGTGAGTTTCTCTATCCTTTGACTCTCTGCTTCAGTTTCCTACAAATAATTTAAATAACTACATCTCATGTATACCTTATCTAAATGTACCAGCTTTTTTTTTACAATAAGCATATTTTAGAATATGTTATCTGAATCTAATCAGAGAGGACACACTCTGACCAATAATTGGTAATTCAGGCTCTTGAATTTCTGGTGCAAATTTGTACAGAAAGTTGATTCCAGTGTAGCAGAAGAGTTCAAAGAAATAAGTTATATTCTTATACACTGCTCCTATTCTCCCAGTTTTTGGCAGAATTACATTTCTCTCTTTCTTTTCCTTTGTCTTTCTTTCTCTTTCTCTCTTTCTTTCTCTCTCTTTCCTTCCTTCTTTCCTTCCTTCCTTCCTTCCCTCCTTCTCTCTCTCTCTCTCTTTCATTCTTTCTTTCTTGACAGATTCTCACTCTGTTGCCCAGGCTGGAGTGCAGTGGCGTGATCTCGGCTCACCACGCCCTCTGCCTCCTGGGTTCAAGTGATTCTCCTGCCTCAGCCTCCCAAGTAGCTGGGACTACAGGTGCCCACCACCATGCCTGGCTAATTTTTGCATTTTTAGTAGAGGCAGAGTTTCAGCATGTTGGCCAGGCTTGTCTGGAACTCCTGACCTCAAATGATCCACCCACCTTGGCCTCCCAAAGTGCTGGGATTACAGGTGTGAGTCACCGCACCCAGCCTCTTTCTTTTTGTAAGCCAAGTTGAAGTTCCAAATGATTGGTTTCTCCTGGAACTGTGGATGTAATAAAGTATGTCAAGGAGCAAATACAGATTTTTCTGCCTGACCCAAAAATGTCACAGTGTGTCATGCAACATCAAACAGCTTGACTTTGTAAACAGTACACAACATTCTTTTGCCTTTAGAACCTGTGTATATAACCTACAACACAAAACATTTTCTTTATAAAAATAATTGCAGATATTTAACGTATGCCAACTGAATCTGATCTATTTTTATACGAAGTTGTTTGGGGAACTGAGCAGTGATTTAAAGAGACAGTACGTACATATGCATGAACGCAAACACATTTAATTACAAACAGGCCAAAGCAAGTTTTGGAAATCCTGTAGTGTTCTACTTTTCTTGAAGTAAATTTGCATGTAACATCTCAAATCTGTGCATGCTTATTAGTGTTTTGCTTCTTTTCCAGAAACTCTTTGAGGTTCAATTAAATTTTAATTTCAGATTATTAACAAATAATTTTTAGTATAAGTATATCCATAAAATATTTAGGACAGAGATTCTGATACATTGTATCTTTATTCTCATTAGTTTCAAAGAACTTCTTTATTTCTGCCCTAATTTTGTTTTTACCCAGAAGTCGTTTAGGAACAGGTTATTCAATTTCTATGTAATTGTATTGTTTTGAGTGAATTTCTTAGTCTTGATTTTGAATTTGATTGGGATGTGGTCCAAGAGACTGTTTGTTATGCCTTCAGTTCTTTTGCATTTGCTGTTATCGATTTTAGGGTGGAGGCTGGGAGGAGGGAGAGGATCAGGAAAAATAACTAATGAGTTCTAGGCTTAATACCTGGGTGATGAAATAATTTGTACAACGAACCCCCATGACACAAATTTACCTAAGTAACAAACCTGCCGTTTTACCCCTTGGACCTAAAATAAAAGTTAAAAAAAAAGAAAAAAATAATTAGGACATATTTATATTAAAAATTATTAAACACTTATTTAAATTTGAATTGCATATAAATAATACTTTAATATATGTATATCCTAAATATATTATAGATTACACTTGTAAAAAAAACTTTTGACTATCTGAAATTTGAATTTAACTGAGTGTTCTGTATTTTTATTGGCTTAATCTGACGTTAAACTATATCTATCTTTTTTTTAAATTATATTTTAAGTTCTGGGATACATGTGCAGAACATGCAGGTTTGTTACATAGGTATACATGTGCCATGGTGGTTTGCTGCACCCATCAACCTGTCATCTAGGTTTTAAGGCCTACATGCATTAAGTATTTCTCCTAATGCTCTCCCTCCCCTTCCCCAGCAACCCCCGAAAGGCCCTGGTGCATAATGTTCCCTTCCCTGTGTCCATGTGTTCTCATTGTTCAACTCCCACTTATAAGTGAGAATATGCAGTGTTTGCTTTTCTGTTCCTGTGTTAGTTTCCTGAGAATGATGGTTTCCAGCTTCATCGATGTCCCTGCAAAGGACATGAACTCATCTTTTTTATGGCTGTATAGTATTCCATGGTGTATATGTGCCACATTTTCTTTATCCAGTCTATCATTGATGGGCATTTGGGTTGGTTCCAAGTCTTTGCTATTGTAAATCATGCTGCAGTAAACATATGTGTGCATGTGTCTTTATAGCAGAATGATTTATAATCCTTTGTGTATATACCTAGTAATGGGATTGCCGGGTGAAATGGTATTTCTGGTTCTAGATCCTTTAGGAATCGCCACATTGTCTTCCACAATGGTTGAACTAATTCACACTCCCACGAACAGTGTAAAAGCGTTCCTATTTCTCCACATCCTCTCCAGCATCTGTTATTTCCTGACATTTTAGGGATCGTCATTCTAACTGGCGTGAGATGGTGTCTCATTGTGGTTTTGATTTGTATTTCTCTAATGACCAGCGATGATAAGCTTTTTTTCATATGTTGGTTGGCTGCATAAATGTCTTCTTTTGAGAAGTGTCTTTTCATATCCTTTGCCTACTTTTTGATGGGGTTGTTCTTTCTTGTAAATTTGTTTAAGTTCCTTGTAGATTCTGGATATTAGACTTTCATCAGATGGATAGATTGCAACAATTTTCTCCCATTCTGTAGGTTGCCTGTTCACTCTGATGAACTAAATCTATCTTTCAACTGAGTCCTTACACTTTAGAAAGGAGGCTAGCTATGGTTTAGCACATTCAGCAATGATGGGCAGAAAATTAAGGGTATTTGGCTGATTAAAGTGATAAAGCAGGACTTGTGGCCTCTTCATATGAGTAATACTGAATTCTGTGTAATGAAACTTTAAGATGGTGAAAAAGTGTGAATACCTCTTTAAATTCATTACAATGGAGTTTGACTACGAATAATATGTTGACTATTATTAGCAGTTGTACCTTAGGTAACATGTGAGCAAAATATATTGCAAAGAGATCTGCACAATCTAGCTGTATGAGAGGTCATTTGATATTGACAAGAGTGCTTTGAATGGTTAAATGGAAATAATGCTCATAAAATGTATTTTTGCCAACGGGTTCATGAGAGGTCTGGAGAACGGCAGCAAAATGAACAATATGAGAATTAAGAATACAATGGCACCTGAAAAAGGAAGGATATAGGACACAGTTGAAAATGGAAGATATAGGATCATTCTATCAGAAGAAGAAAATAGTTTGCAAATATACAGGTAAGAGCGTGCAGGCAGATGTACCCAGAAAGGACCTGAGAACTCAAAATGAGTGACCAGTAATGTAAATTTATTTAAAGAGCAAAGAGATGTGTGAAAAAATAAGTGAAACATGGATGAACAGAAATCCTCCTATCTTAATCAGCTCTAGTTGAAGTCAGAGTAGGACTATGTGCTAAAAATGGTAAATTAAGGAAAACTGAAAGAAGGAACGCGATAAAGAGATGACAACATAAATGAGATGGAAAACTGGCAATAAGGAAGGGTAAAGAAGTGGTGATGAATTTGAACAGCAGGAAAAAAGGCTTCAGAGATATTTCCTTACCAAACAAGATTATTAAGAGAATGCAAATTACTCCTACAGAGCTTTACTTTCTTACTACAACATGTCAAGGGAAGGTTCTCTCATGCCTGTTACTTGAGTCATTTTCTGTCAACTTTGTGGGAACAGAAGAGCTTAAATTGATATGCCTTGATGGCCTATAAGCTACTCAGCTATGAACTACCCAACAGGGAGTAATATTCTCATGCTTTTTTGGGTTGGCTTTCTCTATGCACATGTTTGGTCTTTCCTTACTCATCTTAAAATAAATTAATTAATTTTATTGAACATGTACTGAATACTTATGCTGGGCGTGATGAATATAAAAATGTATAAGTCACACAATCTTTGACCTTGAGGAGTTTACAGCTGTAAGTGTGAATGCGTGAGTGTGTGAGTGTGTGTGTTGAGAGTGATTGTAAGTAATCTGATATTTCTGAACTATAAATTTTACAGTGGGAAATTTAAAATAAAACACAGGTGTAAGAAGAATACATATTAGTACTCAAAATGAAGACATTAAAATGCATACTAAGTATATAAGTAGAGAGAACAATAGTATGCTAAATGATAGCCCAGAACCTGAGTTTATTTTTCTCCATTACCTAAGAGACTTCTTTACCAGCAGAAAATACTCAAAAATTCTATATTCTATGCCTCTATGTGTGTATGTGTGAGAGAAAGGAGGGGAGATTGATTCACAGTCAGTACTAAAAGAATGAAGGAAGGAAAGAGAAATGTTCCTGAAAGTCTTTAAACTGTCAGATATCAGCTCTTTTATGCAGTCCACAAATGCAGCAGATTCTTGTGAGCTCAGGGCAACTTACATTGCAACCTTATCCATTCTATGGATTCCCCATCCACTAAGCTTATTATTATTACTATTATTAAGACAGAGTCTCACTTTGTCACCCAGGCTGGAGTGCAGTGGCATGATCTTGGCTCACTATAACTTCTGCCTTCTGGGTTCAAGTGATTCTCCTGCCTCAGCCTCCCAAGTAGCTGGGACTATAGGCATGTACCACCATGCCCAGCTAATTTTGTTGTATTTTTAGTAAAGATGGGGTTTCACCACGTTGGCCAGGCTGGTCTTGAACTCCTGACCTCAAGCCATCCACTCCCTTTATCATCCTAGAGTGCTGGGATTACTGGCAGAAGCCACCACCACATCTGGGCCATTATTAATTTCCTATTTCTTTTCCTGTTTTTGCTCCTTTAGTTTGATGCAGTTAGTCAGTTTCTTCTAGCTTTTTGACCTCAATTTTTTTCCTGGTAATATTTCTCTCTTGTGATAGTCATTGGAAATGTCCTTCTTGCTACAGTCCAGTCCACAGAACACCTCCTTATGAGGTTGTTTCCACCTATCATGAGGGTTATGAATTGGGATTTGTTTTGAATGTCAGGCCTCAGTTTATCCAAATAGAGAGACAAAGCCAGGTGAAGAAAGAGTTTGGTTCCAAATTATGATGCTATGTGATATAGGATAAGGCTGAGCCATGAGGCCGCATCTAGAGGTTACCATGGGTTCCTAGTATCCTGCCTCTAGGCACACCCCTTCCAGAAATACTCTGAAAGTTAGGACACACAATGTAAGAACAAATAGAACAAGGAAGAATGAGAAAGAGTTTTTTCCTTAGGCCTACGGTCTTCTCAGACCATCTGTCCAAGTAGAGCTCCTTCTTTTAGGGTCTATTGCCATAAGCAGCCTCATGAAATAAGAAAAAGGAAAATAGGCATCCTTATTGAAAGAGGGGTCAAGTAGGAAAAAACTGTCATACAGACTTAGAAGGGCATCTCTAGCTCATTGGCTCAATAAGCATCCCTAAGTCCTCACCCATCAATTTCTGTCCCCTTTCTTTTTGGACATGAAATAACAGGCTATGTAGGAGAAAATACAGATGTACCAACAACAATAAAGTGGAAGAGTTCTGAGCACTTTACAATTTATATACCAAGTCACCAGGGCATTCAGGCATCATTTTTTAAAGAGAGCCTGCTATATGGCAGAAATTGTTCTAGGCACTCTCATGGAATGTGTTTTCTAGATCTAGGGTTGTCTTATGGTTATTTTTACAGTACTGCCAGCCAGCTGAAGAATACTGAGTCCTTATATGCTATGATCTTATCATCCTCAGCTCTAGGAGCTGAATTCCCTCATTCTCCTCCAAACACAGAAAAGGTATTGGCTACACTTTTGCTGTGTCTTATGGACCACTTGTATCAGTGATTCAGCTTACTTATCTGGACTTTAAAAATACTAAACTCCTAATTATTTTTTTTCTTGATGAACTCCTACTCAAAATTAAAACTTCTTTTATGAAGTTTTTCTTCAAACACCTTCCTCTAACAAAACACAATATGCAAAACAGGTAGAAAGCCACTTGTTCTACCAGGGGTCAAGTTAACAATGAAATCAAAAATAAAATATTTGTAGATATAAAAGGCAAGATAATTAGAAATGACAAAAACATTGAAAATATTATCCTGCAAGATGGGCATACCCTAAACAGAATCGGTGTTCAACAGGGTCAAAGTGATTGAATAAATACATTTCTAAGTGAATAACTCTTGAGTAGATGAAATTTGTGAATAAATGAGTGCAAAAGCACTTTCGGCTATATGGTGGATATTGTATTTCTATTGCAATGAATAGTAAAATTATGTCAGCATGTAGTTTCCACATGCTAAAAAACTGCATAAAGTAGGGGCTTGGGTATTGTTATGCACTATTAACTGTAGTAAATGACAAATTCCAGTCGAAGAAATGCTTAAGTCAGAATCCTGATGAAGTATTGAGCAGGGTGATAACTAATATGAAAGGTTTTAATACATTTATGAAGATTATAAAATTAACCTGAATATTGACTCAAATGTTTTACAGGAGAGAAATATTCTCCAAATGCCTTTGAAAATACACATTAAGCACATTGAAAATGGAATATAAAGTTTATAATTGGCATACAAAAATTTCAAGTGATATATGACATATTAATTGCATAGTGTAACAGAATTACCATAACCATAAATGTCTCCATGCCAAATACAGATCTTATTTAATTCTTATTAATATTAAACTTCTTGGCTGGGTGCAGTGGCTTACGACTGTAATCCCAGCACTTTGGGAGTCTGAGGCCGGTTGATCACCTGAGGTCGGGAGTTCAAGACCAGCCTGGCCAACATGCTGAAACTCTGCCTCTACTAAAAATGCAAAAATTAGCTGGGCATGTTGGCACACGCCTGTAATCCCAGCTACTTGGGAGGCTGAGGCAGGAGAATCACTTGAACCCAGGAGGTGGAGGTTGCAGTGAGCTGAGATCACGCCACTGCACTCCAGCCTGGGTGACAGAGTGAGACTCCATCTCAACAACAACAACAACAACAGCAACAACAAAACTTAACTTTCCATTATAGAAAATTTGCTCTCCTTGTGTATTAGATTGTTGACAAGCCGGTAAGTCAATAATGATTCAGACATTTTAGCATCATGGTTAGCCTTTTATTTCTCTTATCCCAACCTCAACTAACTCTTAGATCCAGGTGACATAGACACGGTATGGTGTACTGAGTGGAAAAAGCTGGACAGCCCAATGTTCCCATTTCTTCACTCTGTGACCGTGGGACTCTTATCAGTCTAGATTTCCTCATCCACAAAATAGGGCATTACTGTAGAGAGAATTAAATGAAATTATATGTGTAAAATTTTGAGCCCAGTACTAGTTCATAGGAGGCATTCAATAAATGTGAATTCTTTTGTTTTTGCTCAAACTTGGAATTGGAAGCTGAAGGAAAGAAGAAAGGAAAAGCAGATGGATGCTGCATGATCAATACCTTGATCCCTCCCATGCCTCCTGCACATCTTGCATAGAGATAGTTCAAGGAAAAGGCCAATGAATGAGAAATGATGTGGCTGGGGAGTGGGAAAGGCAATGACCACAGTTGCAACCTCTGCTCTGAAAGAGAACACTCAACCCACTAGGAAACTCTGGTTGTGACAGAAGGAACAGCCTGTATTGATCTCATCTATGAAAGACCCTACTAAGTACTGAATCAGAAGCCTAATTTTGCCTTTGTATCCAATGTTAATAGTTCTAAGTTTTCCAACCATTTTTGTCTTTAACCTTCTAATTCCTAGAAGCCAAGTAGGTGAATCACAGTAATGAATTCTGAATTACTGTGAATTCTGTATACTGTGATATAATACTGTGAATAATGAATTCTGTGAATTCACAGGGTATGAATTCTGAATATGTTTTTGTACAAGTTCATTGACTTCATTAAAATATCTCTAAAATTGTAAACGTAGAAGCTTAAAATAGATTATTTTATTTAAATATATCACTTCTCATGTTGGTGGGGAGAGGAAGGAGGCAATTTGAGAAGACTTTGTCACTTTGATAATTAGGATCTGAGATTTTGACATCAGAAGGGGCAAAACTGTGGCATATCACCATCCTTGCTTAATGTAAATCATTTCACTAATTGGGAGACAAATTCTGCTGCTGAAAAATTCAAAATAATTTTTTCCTTTAAAGAAATAGTATAAAAATACTATTTTTAAAAAGAAATGATTGCCACACCTCATGGAAGAAAATACTACTTCTATATAGTATTTCCTACAGCCCTAGTAAGTGCTTGAGTAGCCACTTTATACAATTGTTTAAATTTTAAAACTAAATCCTGGTTATGCTTCAAAAATAGAAGCAACTATCACAGACTTCATGGCAATGACAAGAGAGGGGACAGAAGCAAGAAAAATTATACAATTTACTAAGTCTCAATTTTGATCAGAAAAAGAAGCAAGGCAGCAAGATGTGTCACTTTATGTAACCCAGTTCAATCATTATCAAACATATCTTGAAGTCCCTGTCAATTTTTATAAAAAACCCTGCTCTCTCAGTCAATATTTCTCTCTTCTTCAACTTATCAAACATCTTCTGACTTTTATCACTTTATAAAATTTTGAAGATTCCTTTTTATTTTGAACAAGATATCACTGACAATTTGTTGGCAGAAGTTATCAGCCTCTGAAAAGTGTGTTCTCATCTGAAATGCCATTATCCTGTTCTTCTGCTCTAACTGATTACCTGATGCTCTTTGCAAATACTGATTATAAATGTCATTAGCTTTAGTGACTCACCTTCAGTTTGTAATGCTTACGGAATGGATCATTAACTCATTTAAAAAATTTCCCAAAAAGGTTGTTTCTACCCATTTGTCCTTCATTTAATTGCCAGCCTGCAAAAGGGAAGAAATAGAAACCCTGCCAAATGACATCCTGGACCAGAAAAAAGAATCAGGTTGCTAATAGAGCATATTTAAAAGAATGATTAATTTGTCTGAATTTGATAGTCAAAACATTTTGACACGAACTGGCAGTTTTAATGATCACTATAATTTAGCTGATGGGCTCATTAATAAAACTCCAGGACTACTTTGTAACATTTAATACAGTGATCACTACAGTTAAGGTTACAGAGAACAAAGAAGCAATTCCTTAGGACCTGAGTAACATGCTTTCAGTAATCCGGGCAGGAGACTGTGAATAATGACTTCCAGCAAACAAGTAACCAGGAGACTTATCTTGTCTGCTAGTAGTAGCCCTTAGTCTTATCTTACAGGTGAAATATCCTGTAGCTTTCTCAAATGACTCACTTGCCAAGAGCTTACTCTATAAATTTTAGTTTCTTAGAAAGGAAATAAAAGATAAGCATTATCAAATCAACGAAGCATAGCAATCCTTTAAAACACATTAGAGAAATGGGGACTCAATATCGTTGGTTTTGGTGCAGTTATGTAGAATGGTCTGGCCAATCACTTTGGGAGTAAAGTTCAAGAAGCTTCTGTGAGATGGATGTTTCATCTGTGAGACTTTGAATTTTATGTGGTTATGATTAGTTTATCTCTCTCAAGTAAAAAGTAAGGTCATAACATGAAATAACATTTAATCAAATTGACCAGTACCTCACTAACTCTCTGGTGATGCTAGACAACTCCAAGAGTATCAGTTGGCCATTAGTAATTTAGTCATTATTACTTTATCAAGATCAGGGTACAGTTTATATAGTGTTCAAGGACTGATAAAGGCTCTAACATCCAAAATCTTAACATATAGCTAACTAGTCATTGGGACAAAGTAGCCAGTTTGTTTGGATGTAGGAGAACTGGCAGATGATTACAGTGAATAGTAATAACAATAATAGTAAATATTTGTTGAGTGAATGTAGTGTGCTAATTACCTTATATGTAACATCATGGACAAGGCCTGAAATAGAAAGAGGCAAAAACAAAAGCGTGTAAGTCCATATCCATTTTTTCCTCTGTTTACAGCAACAGAATTTAAAGCTTGAAACATGATATACCAGGATGAAGAGTCCATTTCCTAGCCTCTCTTTGGTCACAGAACTAGGCTATGAGAGGCAAGTGGAAGTGTTATGTGACATCTTCTGGAAGCCTTCCCAGGGAGACAATGCTCATGTAATGTTTGTGCTGTGCTTCTTTGTTCTTTACCCTATCCTGCTTCTTGGAATGCACGTTACCATTTTGGACCTTGAGGTTGAAGTTGCATGTGACAGAGAAATAAGACAGAAGGATATATGTTCTCTAACAATGTGAAGTGCTGTTCAGCCCAGGATTGCCTGCCTGGACTTTTATAAGAGAAAAGAGTAGACTTGAAAATAATTTCCAGTACAACTATCATATTTTTTTCTGTTATTTATAAATAAACTGAATCCTAAACCACATCAAAACAAATAGGGGCCAATTCCAAATCTGTGCTTAATAACCCTTTATTCTATATGACACATCATCAGTAAATAGCAGGTTCTATTTATGATTTTTACTTTTTACTTCTGACTTGTATTCTACTTACTGCTTCTATCTGCCTCCCTGCTCTTCAGTTTCCATACAAAGAATGAGAAAGCACATTTCCATTCCTCTAAAGCAGGCAGTTCAATTCCTCTAAAGCACACACACACACACACACACACAGACACACAGACACACACACACAAAAACTGTAGAGGCATTCTCTTATCCAACGACATTCAATAAGTATTTATTCATCATCTATTTTTCCAGCTCTTTTGCTCTGTATTAAGACTACTGAGATAAATGACACTGTGAACCCAGTACCTTCTAATGGATGCATTAATAGAAGTATGTCATTGGGACAATGGTATAACAGATGAAGGAGTAACTAATTCTAACTAATTCATTAACTATTTCTAAGAGATTAATTCCGATATTTGATGAGAGATTTAGTGGTTCCTTTGGGGTGGGGCAAGGGGATTACTGAGATCTAGGAAGGAGAGAGAATTTCTGGAATCTTCAGCATTTAGGTAAAAGTAGAAGCCATGAAGTATGTCAAGTTTCAGGGAGAATATATAGAGTGGCAGGATGCAGAGTTAGGAAAAAAACCCTATGATACTGGTGGAGAAAGAAAGAGCTGCTAAAGAGCTGCTAAAGGGCTGCTAAAGATGCTGCTAAAGGTAGAGACAAATTAACAGAGAGTAATCAAGAAAGCCAAGAAAAAGAGAGAAGAGGCAGGTTGGGGTAAAATGGTAATGATTTATGATATCTGATTAAAGTCTGTCTTCCCTATTAGACTGTAGGCATCAGTATGTTTTGTTCACCATTTTATCTTCAGCTTCTAACTGAAGTTCAGTGCCAAACATATTGTAGTTGCTTGTTCAATATGTGCTGAATAAATAACTTCCCAATTTAGAGATTAAGGCCTAGAAATAACTTAGAGATAAATTTTTGGGAGGGATTATACCAAACACAATCCAATATTAAAAAAAGAAACAAGTTTAACATCTATGTCCTACCTCTGATTTACGCAGAGTGGTTCAATTGCATTTGAGGCTTCCATCCAGAGAGAATGCAGGTTTTGTGT
This sequence comes from Homo sapiens, assembly GCF_000001405.40. Lineage (NCBI taxonomy): Eukaryota > Metazoa > Chordata > Mammalia > Primates > Hominidae > Homo > Homo sapiens. The sequence goes on along the minus strand of NC_000005.10, from coordinate 86,949,660 downwards.
CATTATCAGAACACTCGATTGGTCAAATTACACATCCTAATTCTTAGTTCAGAAGCCCTAATCACCTTACCCATAGGGGTGGATTTCTAGAGGAGGCAGAATGTGTGACTACCATAGGCAAGGAGAACACCTTGATGAGGAGACTGGAAAGGAATATCCTGTTTAATCTTCAAAACTCCGTTGAAGCAACAGAAAATTGTAAACACGTAAAAAAATCAAACAAGCTGATGAAACCAAAATATTGTATCTGAGTGGAGAATTACAGTTTAGGAAAGTGGGTTTACATCCTGGGGTCTAGAAACATAGCCCCCTTACAAACATTAGTACCAAGAAGAACAGAGAGAAAACTGAGATGAAGAAAATGTTAATATAAACTCATGTAGAGATATTATAGAAACAAAAAAAAAACCAAATTGAGACTATAAACATCAGATTTACTGTTACTGGAATCTTTGTTATGAAACTTATTCTATGCCAAAAGATAAAACAATAGTTGAGCATTTTTAGGGTGATAAAGGCTTAAAAATTAAATTGGAGGCATGGAATGTAGAATAAGCATATTTTCATTTAGTTTTTAATTTCTCCTACATAGGTGGTCCTCAGATCCAGAGAGTTTTGGAATAAATAAAGCAAACTGCAGTTATTAAAGTTAGAAAGGTTTTTGTTTTCATGCAGTTTTATTTTCATTCTTATTTGCTTAAGCATGCAGGACCACAAAACTATGTTCAATTTGAACTTCTATAGTTAGGTTCATAAAAGTAATGAAATTTCAAAATAAAAGTTGTATAGAAAATCTGTTGTTTACTATTTAACATGGACAGAACATACTATGCTCCAGGCCTACTCAATTATTGATGCTAGGGCTTTACTTTCTCATATTTACTACCCCTCTGGGTGACAAAGACCCCATCTGCCTATTCAGGAGCCCTATGAATGCCATTTATGTGATGCTTAATTTTTATTTTTTATTTTAAGTTTTGTAGAGATGAGGTCTTGCTGTGCTGCCAGGGCTAGTCTCAAACTCCTGGATTCAAGCCATCCTCCCACTTTGGCTTTCCAAAGTGCTGAGATTACAGGCATGAGCCACCATGCCCAGCCTGTGATGGTTTATTTTATATGTCAACCTGACTGGGCCAGGAGATGTCCAGACAGTTGGTTAAACATTATTTGAGTGTATCCATGAAGGTGCTTTGGATGAGACTAACACTTAAATTAGTGGACTCAGGAAAGCAGATTGCCCTCTCTAATGTGGGTGACTCTCATCCAATCTGCTGAGGGTCTGAATAGAACAAAAAGGCTTAGTAAGGGAGAATTTTCTCTTTCTTCCTATCTTTACACTGTGATATCAGTCTTCTCTTACCTTTGGACTTGGACTTAGACTGGAACTTTTGCCATTGGCTCTCCTGATTCTCAGGCCTTTGGACTTGAACCGGAGTTTATGCCATCAGCTCTCCTGGGTCTCTAGTTTGCTGACCACAGATCTTGAGACTTGTCAGCCTCTATAACCATGTGAACCAATTCTTTATAATAAATATCTTTCTGTCTATATGTATTCTATTGCTTCTGTTTCTCTGAAGAACCTAGACTAATACAAAACTTAGTACTAAGAAGTGAGGTGCAACTGTAACAAATACTTAAACACGAACATGGCTTTGAAACTGGGTAATGGGTAGAGGCTGGAAGAGTGTTGAGGTATGTATTAGAAATATGGGTATTCAAGGCAATTCTGGTGAAAACTCAGATTGGAGTGAAGAACACCAATAATTGGAAACTGGACAAAAGTTAATACTTACACTTGGTTGAGCTGTGTTTTAGTGTTTCGTAGAAGGTAGAACTTGTGAGTGATGAGATTGGATATTTAGCTGAGGAGATTTCTAAGGAAAGTGTTGAAAATTCCTCTTGAATGCTTCCAGTAAAATGCAAAAGAAGAGAGATTAATTGATGAAGAAATTGTTAATCAAAAAGGAATCAGAACTTGGAGATGTGGAAAATTCTCAGTTTATTGCATAATATTGTAAAAATGGGAAAGATTTTTCTGAAGAGAACGCTAAAGGTGTGACAGAATAACCACTTGATAAAAAGATCATGTTTGGGACTCATGGACTTAATCAGCCATTTCAACAGAAGCCAGGAATAGAGATGGGATTAAACCAGCAAGAACAGTTTCAACTAAAAGGGAACAGAAAAAGTGAGATAAAATAAAGGAAGGCTGTAAGAATTACTGGATTTGACAGGGCTGGACAACAAAGTATTTGGCTGCAAATTTGCTTTGCTCTACAAGAACAAGGAAAAATGACCCTGAAGTTCATCCAGAGATCAGCAGGGCTACTTCCTCAGTTTCACTGGGATAGACAGCTTCCACAAGAAGCCATGGGGGCCGGAGTACCCTGCAGAGTCACAGAAGCAGAACCACTGCCCCAGTGGGTCCAGAGGCAGAGAATGGATCCAAACAGGATTATCCTCAGGCTTTAAGATTTGATGGAATTTGTCTTTCTAACTTTCATACTTGTTTGGTAGCCATCACCTGTTTCTTCTTTCCTATTCTCACTTTTGGAATTAGAATATCTATCTTATGCCTGTCCCACCATTGCATTTTGGGAGCACATACTTGTCTGGTTATCTGCTCACCCCAATTTTTCTTCTTTAGCTCATAGATGGAGAAGAATTTTGCATCAAGTCTTAACCATATCTGATTTATATAATATTTAGATGAGACTTTAAAGTTTAGACTTTAGAGTTGGTGCCAGAATGAGTTAAGATTCTGGGGGCTGTTGGAATGTAATCAATGTATTTTGCATGCAAGAAGGACATGGATGTTAGGAGGCCAGGGAATAATGTTATAGACTGAATTATCTTCCCCTAAAATTCATACACTGAAGCCCCAACTCTCTACCCTGAAATGTGATGGCATTTGGAGATGAGGCCTTTAGAGGTAATCAGGTTTAGGTGAGGTGATGAGGGTGGGGCCCTGATGATGGGATTAGTCCTCTTTTAAGAAGAAATACCAGAGAGTTTACTCTATCATGTGAAGATACAGTGAGAAGTTGGCTATAAGCCAGGAAGAGAGCCATTCCTGAACTGAAGCAGCCAGCACCTTGATCTTGGACTTCCCAGCCTTCCTCACTGTGAGAAATAAATTCCTGTTTGTTTAATCTGCCCAGTCTGTGACATTTTGTATTTTCTGAACAGACAAATACAGCTCATGAAATTTTGGAGTAAGTGGCAGGAGTATTTATGCAAGAAGTTCTGTCTGTAGATGGAAATCCCACTCCACCACCAGAGACATCTTGCTCTGTCCAGATGCTGAGTAGTCTCTACTTGTTGACGTTATTACCACATGTTGACTTGATTCCCTGCTGCTGGCCAGTAAGGGTGATAGGCAGTCTCCCTATGAGGACACAGTATCCCTCCATGCAGTTATTCATCCCCCATTTCTGCCCTTCTCATTGTCTACTCCCTAACTTGCTGTAAGGGTGTGTCCCACCTAGCTCCTCTTTCCCATCTCCCTCTCTTCTCTCCAGCCTAGATGAACCTGTTTTCACTTTGTGTGTGCATGCATATGAAGTGGTGTGTTTCTTCACTATTCTTCATTCTGTTTAACTATTATAGCATAAACTTTATGTCCTGCTTCCTTCAGGGCTTCCTTCTATAGTGACTACTTACTGCTTGTTTCATTCATATCCTAAAAATTCCTACTTTGCTTGGAGGCAATATAAACACCTCTGACTCACTGGTGGAAAAATTTTACTTAGGGAGGTGGGGAAAACCAAGCACAAAGATTAATATTTCAAGATATTACCCTGCAGATGGTAATATAAATGCTATTTATATTTCATACACAAACATGCCTTAATATAGATTTTAGATCTCAAGTCTGCATATATATTGAATATGAAAAGTGAGCACTGTGTATAGTCTCTTGGATCTCTCCATATATATTGCTATATATATATGTGGCACATATATAGCAATATATATATATATAGATAGTGTATATATGTGTGTATATATATATACACATACACACACATATATCTGTATCTATCTGCTACAAGTCTCAGTCTCTGTTTTCACACTTTCAAACTCTTGAATGAGAAACCTTATTTAACTTTTGTTTTTAAGCCAGACAATAAAAGTCATAATTGCTGGCCAGCTGTGGACATGTCACTTTGTATCAGATTCTCATTCTGGTTTAATTAGGTTGTGAAGTGACATGATATAAAAGGTGGCAGTCTCAGTAGGGGCTGTCAGTCTGGTAACAATCAACATCTCTGATATAACATTTCTCACACTTACCCATATCTTTTAATTCTGATTATTCCCATACAAATTGAATACCTGGTATATCCTCTTGATTATTAGTATAACCTATTAATTGCCCACGCCAATCCCCCCATGGTTTTAGTCTTAGTCTGTTTCATCCATATAGCACATAGCCATGAGATTTTATCTTCCTAAACTGTATGTTTCTCTTGTCTTTTTTAGTCTAAACATTTAACTGTGGCTCATGATTGACTGTATTTCCAAAGTATGTTCTACAGGATACAAATAGGGATTTATACACAGAAAAAATTATTCTGCCCTTAAGTATGATTGGTAAACACAGATTGAACTAATTATCACCAAGTATATTTTCTCAGGATTCCTTAGAGATGTAAGTATGCTGACATGTGTTATAACACTTTCAGAGAGAGATATAATCTGTAGTATTTCTGAAATACATTTAAATAAACCTTTTTCTTTATGAGTCATTAAGTCTTCATGGAGTACACTTTGGAAAAACATTGGCAAACAGCATAAAATAAAAATTTATTACCTGGTACATATAGACCTTTCACAACCTATATTCTAAAATTATATGCCTTATATGACCTTTCTGTTTAGTTATATAAAAGAATGTTTTAGCCACATTGCTTTGACCTTGTTCATATTTTTACTCTGCCATCCATTTCTGCCCTTAAAGGGTCATAAAACAAAAGTGCTGTAACCTCTCTATATCTGTCAATCATCTTCTTCCTGCTTTTCTCTTTCTATGCCTCTCTCTGTCTTATTCTCCCACTGTTTCTCTCTTCCTCTCTTCTTTGCATCCCCTTGTCCCTCTGCCCTTTTCTTCCCTACTTATCTCACAAATTGGTCATTTTTTTATATAATCAATATCTTAGTCCATTTAGGCTGCTATACCAAAATATCTTAGGTGGGGTAATTTATGAACAACAGAAGTCTATTATTTTCATTTCTGGAGGCTGGGAAGTCCAAGATCAAGGCGCTAGCAGATTTGGTGTTTGGTGAGGACATGCTCCTCACAGATGGTGCCTTCTGTGTCCTCACATGGTGGAAGTGGGGAAGGGAGCTCACTTGAGTTTCTTTTTATAAGGACACTTATCTCATTTATTAGGGTTTCACCCTTATAACTTGATCACTTCCTGGTATGGTTTGAATGTGTGTCCTCTAAAAATGCATGTGTTGGATGAACAACTATACTCCAATAAATGAAAAAATGCTAGACAAAAAGGATATATTCCTGGACTCATAATTATGACTACCAAGATTGAACCATGAAGAAATGTGAAAACTGAACTGGCCAATAATGAGTAATGAGAAAGAAGCAATAGTAAAAAAATCTCCCATCAAAGAAAATCCCAGGACCTAATGGCTTCATTGCTGGATTCTACCAAATATTTAAAGGCTAACTAATATCAATTTTACTAAAACTCTTAAAAAAAACTGAAGTGGAAGTAATACTTCCAAGCTCATTCTACAATGCCAGCATTACCCTTGTACCAAAACCAGACAAAGACAAAACAAAAAAATATTAAACTACAGGTCAATATTCTTGATGAACATAGATGAAAAAATCCTCAACAAAATATATCAAACTTAATTAAACAACTTGGTGAAGATCATTCACCATGTACAAGTAATGTTCATCCCAGATATGCAAGAATGGCTCAACATACACAAATAAATAAATATCACATTACTAGAATTAAGGACAAAAACCAAATGACCATGCCAATAGATTCTGGAAAAGCATCTATTCAACATCAGTAAAATTAAATGTTCCTTCATGATAAAAACTCTCAAGAAACTGGGCTATAGAAGGAACATGACTCAAAACAATAAAGCCATAAATGATAAACCCACAGCTAGCTCATAATGAAGGGGAAAATGGAAACCTTTTCCTCTAAGGACTGAAACAAGACAAAGATGGCCAGTTCTACCACAATATTCAACAGTTCTACCACAATATTCAACATAGTAATGGAAATCTTGGGGCAATTAGAAAAAAGAAAGATACAAAGGGCATCCAAATTGGAAAGGAAGAAGTCAAATTGTTCTTGTTTGCAGATGACATGGTCTTACATTTAGAATAGCCTAAAGACTCCACCAAAAAACTGTTAGAATTGATATATGAATTCAGTTAAGTTGCAGGATACAAAACCAACATATGAAAATCAGTGATATTTCTGTATACCAAAAGTGAACAATCTGAAAAGGAAATCAAATAAGCAATCCCATTTAAAATAGTTACCAAAAATAATAAACTTGATGAAAGAAGTGAAAGATCTCTATAATAAAAACCATGAAACACTGATGAAAGAAATTGAAGAGGATACAAAAATGAAAAGGTAGCCCATGTTCATGGATTGGAAGAATTAATATTGTTAAAATGTCCATACTCCCCAAAGTTATATACATACATAATGCAGTTCCTACAAAAATATCAATGACATTCTTTATAGAAGTAGAAAAAAATCCTATAATTTCTAAGGAATCACAAAAGACCTTGAATAGCCAAAGTAATCTTCAGTAGGAAGAACAAAGCTGGAGGCAAACATTACCTAATTTCAAAATAAAAATACAGATGCATAGACCAATGGAACAGAATAAAGAACGCAGAAAAAAATCCACATACAGCCAATTCCCTTTTGATAAAGGTGTTAAGAACATACATTGTGGAAAGGACAGTCTCTTCAATAAATGATGCTGGGAAAACTGGGTATCCATATGCAGAAGAATAAAAATAACTCAATTTCTCACTATATAAAAAAATCAACCCAAAATAGATTAAAAACTATATGTAAGACCCGAAATTATAAATCTGCTAAAAGAAAGCATGGGGGAAGTGCTTCAGTACACTGGTCTGAGCAAATATTTCTTGAGTACTACCCCACAAGCACAGGTAACCAAAGCAAAGTTGTCAAATGGGATTAAATCAAGCTAAAAACCTTCTGCACAGCAAAGAAAACAATCAACAAAGTAAAGAGACAACCTACAGAATGGACAAAAATCTTTGCAAACTATTTATTCCATGGGGATTAATAACCAGAATATACAAGGAACTCAAGCAATTCAATGGCAAAAACACAAATAACCCAATTTTAAAATGGGAAAGCTGGGTGTAATGGTGTGTACCATTAGTTCCAGCAACAAAGAGACTGAGACAGGAGGATTGCTTAGGCCCAGGAGTATGAGAGTGTAGTGTCCTAGGATTGCACCTGTGAATAACCACTGTACTCCAGCTTGGGCAACATAGTGAGACCCCATTACTGAAAGAAAGCAAGGTGGCAAAAGATCTAAATAGACATTTCTCAGAAGACGACATCCAAATAGCCAACAGGTATATGAAAAATGTTCAACATCATTAAAAATCATAAGGGAAATGCAAGTCAATACCACATTGAGATAAAATCTCACCCTAGGGGCATTCCAAGATGGCCAAATAGGAACAGCTCTGGTCTGCAGCTCCCAGTGTGATTGATGCAGAAGATGGGTGATTTCTGCATTTCCAACTGAGGTACCTGGTTCATCTCATTGGGACTGGTTGGACAGTGGATGCAGCCCATGGAGGGTGAGCCAAAGCAGGGCAGGGCATCGCCTCACCTGGGAAGCGCAAGGGATCGGGGGATTTCCCTTTCCCAGCTAAGGGAAGCCGTGACAGACTACCTGGAAGAACAGGACACTCCTGCCCAAATACAGCGCTTTTCCCAAGGTCTTAGCAACCAGCAGACAAGGTGGTTCTCTCTCATGCATGCCCACGGAGGCTTGCTCACTGGTAGTGCAACAGTCTGGGATTGATCTGTGAGACAGCAGCCTGGCTGGGGGAGGGACATCCGCCATTGCTGAGGCTTGAGTAGGTAAACAAAGCATCCAGGAAGCTCGAACTGGGCAGAGCCCACCACAGCTCAACAAGGCCTACTGACTCCAGACTCCATCTCTGTGGGCAAGGCATAGCTGAACAAAAGGCAGCAGACAACTTCTGCTGACTTAAACGTCCCTGTCTGACAGCTCTGAAGAGCAATGATTCTCCCAGCACAGCGTTTGAGCTCTGAGAACGGAGAGACTGCCTCCTCAAGTGGGTCCCTGAACCCCATGTAGACTAACTGGGAGACATCTGCCAGTAGGGGCTGACAGACACCTCATATAGGCAGCTGCCCCTCTGGGATGAAGCTTCCAGAGGAAGGATCAGGCAGCAATATTTGCTGTTCTGCAATATTTGCTGCTCTGCAGCCTCCTCTCGTGATACCCAGGCAAAGAGGGTCTGGAGTGGAACTCCAGCAAATTCCAACAGACCTGCAGCTGAGGGACCTGACTATTAGAAGGAAAATTAACAAACAGAAAGGAATGGCATCAACATCAAAAAAAAGGTTATCTACACCAAAACCCCATCTGTAGGTCACCAACATCAAAGACCAAAGGTAGATAAAACCACAAAGATGGGGAGAAACCAGAGAAAAAAAGCTGAAAATTCTAAAATCAGAGCACCTCTTCCCCTCCAAAGGATATTCCTTGAGAAGAGCAACCACAAGACGCAATTGTCAGATTCACCAAGGTTGAAATGAAGGAAAAAGTGTTAAGGGCAGCCAGAGAGAAAGGTCAAGTTACCCAAAAAGGAAAGCCTATCAGACTAACAGTGGATCTCTTGGCAGAAACCCTACAAGCCAGAAAAGAGTGGGGGCCAATATTCAACATTCTTAAAGAAAAGAATTTTCAACACAGAATTTCATATCCAATTTCATAGCCAAACTAAGCTTCATAAGTGAAGGAGAAATAAAATCCTTCACAGACAAGCAAATGCTGAGAGATTCTGTCACCACCAAGCCTGTCCTAAAAGAGCTCCTGAAGGAAGCACTAAGCATGGAAGGAAACAACCAGTACCAGCCACTGCAAAAACATGCCAAATTGTAAAGACCATTGATGCTATGAAGAAACTGCATCAATTAATAGGCAAAATAACCAGTGAACATCATAATGACAGGATCAAATTCACACATAACAATATTAACCTTAAATGTAAATGGGCTACATGCCCCTATTAAAAGACACAGACTGGCAAATTGGATAAAGAGTCAAGACCCATCAGTGTGCTGTATTCAGGAGACCCATCTCAGGTGCAAAGACACACATAGGCTCAAAATAAAGGGATGGAGGAAGATCTACCAAGCAAATGGAAAGCAAAAAAAAAAAAAAAAAAAAAAAAGTAGGGGTTGCAATCCTAATCTCTGATAAAAGAGACTTTAAACCAACAAAGATCAAAAGAGACAAAGAAGGCCATTACGTAATGGTAAAGGGATCAATTCAACAAGAAAAGCTAACTATCCTAAATATATATGCACCCAATACAGGGTCACCCGGATTCATAAAGCAAGTCCTTAGAGACCTACAAAGAGACTTAGACTCCCACACAATAATAATGGGAGACTTTAACATCCCACTGTCAATATTAGACAGATCAGTGAGACAGAAGGTTAACAAGGATATGCAGGACCTGAACTCAGCTCTGCAACAAGCAGACCTAATAGACATCTACAGCACTCTCCACCCCAAATCAACAGAATATACATTCTTCTCAGCACCACATCACGCTTAATCTAAAATTGATCACGTAATTGGAAGTAAAGCACTCCTCAGCTAAGGTAAAAGAACAGAAATCATAACAAACTGTCCCTCAGACCACAGTATAATCAAATTAGAACTCAGGATTAAGAAACTCACTCAAAACCGCACAACTACACGGAAACTGAACAACCTCCTCCTGAATGACTACTGGGTAAATAACGAAATGAAGGCAGAAATAAAGATGTTCTTTGAACCCAATGAGAGCAAAGACTCAACATACCAGAATCTCTGGGACACATTTAAAGCAGTGTGTAGAGGGAAATTTATAGCACTAAATGCCCACAAAAGAAAGCAGAAAGATCTAAAATTGATACCCTAACATCACAATTAAAAGAACTAGAGAAGCAAGAACAAACACATTCAAAAGCTAGCAGAAGGCAAGAAATAACTAAGATCAGAGCAGAACTGAAAGAGATAGAGATACAAAAAATCCTTCAAAAAAGCAATGAATCCAGGAGCTGTTTTTTCGAAAAGATCAACAAAATTGATAGACCACTAGCAAGACTAATAAAAAAGAAAACAGAGAAGAATCAAATAGATGCAATTAAAAATAATAAAGGGGATATCACCACTGATCCCACAGAAATACAAATTATCATCAGAGAACACTATAAACACTTCTATGCAAATATACTAGAAAATCTAGAAGAAATGGATAAATTCCTGGACACATACACCCTCCCAAGACTAAACCAGGAAGAAGTGGAATCTCCGAATAGACCAATAGCAGGCTCTGAAATTGAGGCAATAATTAATAGCCTACCCATCCAAAAAAAGTCCAGGACTAGACAGATTCACAGCCGAATTCTACCAGAGGTACAAAGAGGAGCTGGTACCATTGTCTCTCAAACTATTCCAGTCTATAGAAAAAGAGGGAATCCTTCCTAACTCATTTTATGAGGCCAGCATCATCCTGATACCAAAGCCTGGCAGACACACAACAACAACAACAACAAAACCAGAATTTTAGACCAATCTGCCTGATGAACATTGATGCGAAAATCCTCAATAAAATACTGGCAAACCTAATCCAGCAGCACATAAAAAACCTTATCCACCACAACAAGTCGGCTTCATCCCTGGGATGCAAGGCTGGTTCAATATATGCAAATCAATAAACATAATCCATCACATAAACAGAACCAATGACAAAAACCACATGATTATCTCAACAGATGCAGAAAAGGCCTTTGACAAAATTCAACAGCCCTTCATGATAAAAACTCTCAATAAACTAAGTATTGATGGAACATATCTCAAAATAATAAGAGCCATTTATGAAAAACCCACAGTCAATATCATACTGAATGGGCAAAAACTGGAAGCATTTTCTTTGAAAACCAGCACAAGACAGGGATGCCCTCTCTCACCACTCCTATTCAACATAGGGTTGGAAGTTCTGGCCAGGGGAATCAGGCAAGAGAAAGAAATAAAGGGTATTCAACTGGGAAATGAGGAAGTCAAATTGTCCCTGTTTGCAGATAACATGATTGTATATTTAGAAAACCCCATCATCTCAGACCCAGATCTCCTTAAGCTGATAAGCAACTTCAGCAAAGTCTCAGGATACAAAATCAAAGTGCAAAAATCACAAGCATTCCTATACACCAATAACAGACAAACAGCCAAATCATGAGTGAACTCCCATTCACAAATGCCTCAAAGAGAATACAATACCTAGGAACCCCACTTACAAGGGATGTGAAGGACCTCTTCACAGAGAACTACAAACCACTGCTCAACGAAATAAAAGAGGACACAAACAAATGGAAGAATATTCCATGCTCATGGATAGGAAGAATCAATATCATGAAAATAGCCATACTGCCCAAGTTATTTATAGATTCAATGTCATCCCCATCAAGCTACCAATGACTTTCTTCACAGAACTGGAAAAAACTACTTTAAAGTTCATATGGAACCAAAAAAGAGCCTGCATTGCCAAGACAATCCTAAGCAAAAAGAACAAAGCTGGAGGCATCATCTGACTTCAAACTATACTACAAGGCTATAGTAACCTAAAGAGCATGGTACTGGTACCAAACAGATATATAGACCAATGGAACAGAACAGAGGCTTCAGAAATAACACCACACATCTACAACCATCTGATCCTTGACAAACCTGACAAAAACAAGAAATGGGGAAAGGATTCCCTGTTTAATAAATGGTGCTGGGAAAACTGGCTAGCCATCTGTAGAAAGCTGAAACTGAATCCCTTCCTTACACCTTATAGAACATTAATTCAAGATGGATTAAAGACTTAAATGTTAGACCTAAAACCATAAAACCCTAGAAGAAAACCTAGGCAATACCATTCAGGACATAGGGGTGGGCAAGGACTTCATGACTAAAACACCAAAAGCAATGGCAACAAAAGCCAAAATAGACAAATGGGATCTCATTAAACTGAAGAGCTTCTGCATGGCAAAAGAAACTACCATCAGAATGAAGAGGCAATATACAACATGGGAGAAAATTTTTGCAATCTATGCATCTGTCAAAGGGCTAATATCCAGAATCTACCTAGAACTCAAACAAATTTACAATAAAAAACACAAACAACCCCATCAAAAAGTGGGCAAAGCGTATGAATAGACACTTCTCAGAAGAAGACATTTAAGCAGCCAACAGACATGTGAAAAAATGCTCATCATCATTGGTCATCAGAGAAATGCAAATCAAAACCACAGTGAGATACCATCTCACGCCAGTTAGAATGGCTGTCATTAAAAAGTCAGGAAACAACAGATGCTGGAGAGGATGTGGAGAAATAGGAAGGCTTTTACACTGTTGGTGGGAGTGTAAATTAGTTCAACCATTGTGGAAGACAGTGTGGCAATTCCTCAAGGATCTAGAACTAGAATTACCATTTGACCCAGCAATCCCATTACTGGGTACGTACCCAAAGGATTATAAATCATGCTAGTATAAAAACTCATGCACACGTATGTTTATTGCAGCACTATTCACAATAGCAAAGACTTGGAAGCAACCCAAATGTCTATCAATGATAGGCTGGATTAAGAAAATGTGGCACATATACACCATGGAATACCATGCAGCCATAAAAAAGGATGAGTTCATGTCTCAGCAAATTATCACAAGGACAGAAAATCAGCACCGCATGTTCTCACTCATAGGTGGGAATTGAACAACGAGATCACTTGGACACTAGGCGGGGAATATCACACACCAGGGCTTGTCGGGGGGTGGGGGGCTGGGGATAGCATTAGGAGAAATACCTAATGTAAATGATGTGTTTATGGGTGCAGCAAATCAACATGGCACACGTATACCTATGTTTCAAACCTGGATGTTGTGCACATGTGCCCCAGAACTTAAAGTATAATAAAAAAAATTTAAAAAGAAAGCATAATAATAATAATAATAATAATAATAATAATCTCACCCTCATTAGAATGGCCATTATCAAGACAACAAAAAATAACAAATGTTGGCAAGGATGTGGAGAAAGGAGAACATTCATATACCGTTGATGGACAAGTAAGGTCATATAGTTATTATGGAAATCAGTGTGGAGTTTCTTCAAAAAACTAAAAATAGAACTACCATATGATCCAGCAATTCCACTACTGGTTATGTATCAAAAAGAAAGGAAATAAGTATATTCAAGAGATAGCTGCACTCCTATACTTATTGCAGTGCTATTCACAACACCCAAGATACGAAATCAACCTACGTGTCCAACAACAGATGAATGAATAAAGAAAATATGGTATATATATTCAACAGAGTACTACTTAGCATAAAAAAGAGTGAAATCCTGCCATTTGCAGCCACATGGATGAAACTAGAGGTCATTATGAAAAATGAAATAAGCCAGACACAGAGAGACAAATATCACATGTTGTCACTCATATGTGGAAGCTAAAAATGTAGACCTCATGGAAGAAGAAGGTAGAATGGTAGTAACTAGAGGCTGGGAAGGGAAAGGGAGAAAAGAGGACACATAATGGGTACAAAATTACAGTTAGATAGAAGGGATAAGTCCTGGTATTCAACAGTTCAATAGGGCAACTATAGTTAATAATAATTTACTGCATATTTCAAAATAGCTAGAAGATTTGAAATTTTCCCAACACAAAGAAATAATAAATATTTGTGGTGATGAACATCCCAGTTACTTTTGATCATTATGCACAAGACTCTTGCATCAAATATCATGTATACCCCATAAACACGTGCAACTATTATGTATCCATACAAATTTTAAAAGACACCAATATTCATGTGTTGAAACTTAATGGCCAATGTGATGATCTTAAGAGGGGTGTTCTTTGAAAGGTGATTAGGCCATGAAGGATCCTCTCTCAAGAATGGGGTTAAGGTCCTTATTATAGAGGACTCAGGCAGCATTCAGCCTCTTTGACTTTCTGCCAGGTGAGGAAACAGTGTTCCTCCTCTTTTGAGAATACAACAATAAGGCATCATCTTGGAAGTGGAGACTGGTCTATTACCAGACAATGAATTTGCTAGTACCTTGATTTGTACTTTGAACTGTGAGAAATAAATTTATTTTCTTTATAAATTACCCAGTCTTAGGTATTTTGTTATAGCAGTAAAAACAGAGTAAGATACTTCCCAGGAGGTCCTACTTCTAAATAACACAATAATGGGAATTGGGATTAGGTTTCAACATGAATTTTGGAGGGACACATTCAGACCACGTTACAGTGAACAAAATTCTCAATGGTAGAAGTCATAATCTATAAAATTTGTTATAAATGAAAAAAATGTATGCATCAAATCTTCCCTGTGAACATTAAAAGAAAAATAATGGTCTCAGTAAAATATTTTTAAAAATAAAACTGAAAAACAGTATTTTAACTGTTGTTAGAATATTAATCAAAAATTAATTAACTTGAAACGAACCACTCAGGAAAATAGTTTTGATGAGATGTTATCCATAGTATCATAATTATTATTAAAATGCTTATATTCTGTATAGCCTGTAAATCAAATATATACAAGGTCAAGATTTTTAAAAAAGTCTTTCCCTATTTACTTAATCTTTTAATTCACTAGCATGTGGATATAAGCTGTTCATATGGTAAAGTCATTTTCCTTCTAATTTTGACATATGACTCTAAGGGTCCTTCTTCTACCTTTCCATCAATCTATTTTCTACTGATTCCTAAGGGCTCCTTTTTTTTGAGATGGAGTCTTGCTCTGTCACCCAAACTGGAGTGCAGTGGCGTGATCTCGGCTAACTGCAACATCTGCCTCCCGGGTTCAAGCAATTCCCCTGTCTCAGCCTCCCAGTAGCCAGGACTACAGGCACCCACCACCATGCCTGGCTAAGTTTTCTATTTTTAGTAGAGATGGGGTTTCACAATATTGGTCAGGCTGGTCTCAAACTCCTGAACTCAGGTGATCAACTCGCCTTGGCCTTTTTGTAAATCTTTCTGTGACTACCTTAGTCTACCTTAAAATCCTAAAAAGTAAGGATGCCAATGAAATATTTTTACTAATTACATGTGTAAAATTTTGTCCTAAAAGCAGTTTGAGGCATACCTATATGTAGTGTGTATATATGGATAGTATGTGTACATATGTATAGTGTATGTGTCCATGTGTGTCTGAATTTGCCTAGCCATTGTTTTAGATATTACACCAAGATTTGACTACACCAGTGAAAAATGTAGGAAGTGAATAGAACAGTTGACATGGATAATTTTCAATGTGACTTTTTGAGCTAATCATTGGCTAGTCGGAATCATAGTCAAAGTTAATTAATTCTATTAGAGCAAAAAGAATTATTCAATTAACAGGCAATTCTTATGCAATTTTAATAGACTAATTAGAAGAAACAAATGTCACAAAATGTTCCTTACCTATTAAAGATATGATATCAAATTCTTAATTTGAATTCCAAGAGGCATAGGAGGCATGACAACTGTGAGTTTAATTAGCTGAAGTTGATAAATTTCATCCTAAACATAAAGATTATATACCACTCAAATGAATCCTTTCACATAAGTTTAATATTTATTAGTAAGTAAGGCATTTACAGACTAATTACAAAAGTTGTTAGGTTATGAATATAAAAGGAATGAAAATAAAAAAGTCATACATCTTGCTAAAGACATTTTAATTCCTCTTGTGTCCCCAGTCGCTGGATAACATAACAAAGGCCACAAAACTTCAGGAAAGAGGGTATTTATTAGTGTTATCTACTTTTCTATTGAATTTACTAGAATTTGCCACTTTGTCTTCTAAACTGTTTTTCCCTCCAAGTTAGACAGCAGTTTATTTCCTCCAAGAAGTTCTTTTTTTTTTTTTTTTTTTGGTTAACCTTGTATTGCTTTGGCTTTCTTCTTTATTTTTATGTTGATTATTGATTATGAAATATTTTAGAAAGTAGGAAGAAAAAGTGTGTTGCATATTCTGTTTATTAAAGAGATGATCATTGCTTATATGTTGAACATTTATCTCTAATTAATTATGGATTTTCATTATTAAAACACAAAAAGTGAAATTTTTTTACAAATAATTTCAATTTGCTTGAGAAAAAGAGGTTAGGTTTTTAAACTTTTTTTGTCTTTTAAGTTAATTCACTTTGGGATGACATTCTAACACAAAGCTATGGCTATGGTAATCATACCATTGTAAGATTATATACCTATTTTTAAATGAAAGAGGTTAAGTTTAACTCTTATCTATGTTCATAAAATGTCCTGACACATTTTATTTCCATTTAATGTCAGCTTGTTTTCTTTAATAGTTTAGTGCCATGATTAGTGATGGCCCCTTTAACACTGTAAGCCTCTGTAGCAAGTACCTGAGTTTTCTGTGGGCAGGGAACAGGCTGGAATACATACCCAGATAGAAACAGGGTTATTTCTTACAGAAAAGGTAGAATGATTTCGAGGGGGAAACTAAGAACCCAGAGGAAGAACTAAGAGCGTTGGAGAATCATTTCTTGGAGCCAGAATATGCCATTGTGTCCCAATCAAGTAACTGACAACACCTGTCCAGCCAGAGTTCAGAACTGCAATGAACCAGCAACAGCTCTGTGCCTCCCATTCTCTCATTCTCTTCCTTTTTTCATGGGGCTGCCTTTTGTAGTTATTCTCTCTTTCTGCATTTTACATTGTGTGTGTGTGTGTGTGTGTGTGTGTGTGTGTGTGTGTGTACGAGTAGACTCACAGGACTACCTATACCCAAGGATTTAGAACCATATCCACAGAATGGAGTCTCATCTGTACCTGGATATCACTTAGATAATAAGAACATGGATAACAAGCTTGAATCTCCAGTTGACTGTGATGATGACAAGTCATTAACCTTCTGAACCTCAGTTTCTTCTGTAAAATGAAGGGAATTAAACTAGATCATTTCTGATGATCTTTTATGATGATACCACCTGAAATTTTCCATTATTTGTATAACTATCTTAGCTGAATCAAGAGTTAACTATATTACCTTATTGAATACTATATACTTGAATTGGGGCTTTTTAGATAGCTGATTCCCAGAAAGCAATAATCATACTGTCTGTGGTCTCTCAAATCTCCATAGTGCTTATTTTATAGCCAAGTATTCATTAGATGCTTGACATATATTAAATGATGAACATGACCGTGTTAATCTGAGTTGTTCCAGGCTGACTGCAGTATTGCTGCGGACATTTCTTTTTCTTATTAAAACCATTAACAATAGGAGTTTGTGCTCTTTGCTACTATAAGGAGACAGGTGAGGGATCTTACAGCAGTCACCTATTTCAGATCTTCTCAAATGACTGCAAATTGACTTCTAACTCATGATGGAATTAAATAATAATTTTCACAGTATAAACTGTGCTTGGGAACTATTTCTCATCAGGTCACTGCCACAAAAAAAGCCTGTTTTGTGGGTTCTTTGGGATATATTTTGACAAGATTATCTTTGTTTCAAAGGGACATTTGAATGAAGAGCTAAAGGAGCACTGATAGAGGCCAAATGAAATGCTGAAACGAGAGATGTAAAAGCTGGGTTTGATAATTGAGGAAGGCTTGGCGAATTGTTTAAGGTCAACCTGCACTACGATGCATATTTGAAAACTGTGTTTTTCATTATTCACTGTTCCCTTAAATAAAACCAGAAATGTCCAAAAGTCATTTTATTTTCCATTTTTTTTTTTTTTTTGGGACAGGGTTTTCTCAGTCACCCACAATGGAGTGTATTGGTACAATCATGGCTCACTGCATCCTCAAACTTCTGGGCTCAAGTGATTCTCCCACCTCAGCCTCCTGAAGAGCTGAGACTACAGGCACATGCCCCCATGCTCAGCTAATTTTTTTTTACTTTTTGTAGAGATGGGAGTCCTGCTATGTTGCTCAGGCTTATCTCAAACTGGGACCTCAAGCCATCCTCCCACCTCAGCCTCCCAAAGAGCTGGGATTACAGGTGTGAGCCACTTCACACAGCCCAAGTCATTTTAAATAGACGCTTCTCTCTTAATCACTTTATTTTCAACTTGCAGCCTCTATTGGACTAAAGTAAATGATAAAAACCTGCAAAGTTCTCAAAGTTCTCGTTGAAATCCTTCTAACCTATTTTAGTTTCTCTTAGAGGATACTGTTGACTGCATCTTGGCCCAATAACCTGTTCCTTATTATTTGGAGATTAGAGTGATGAGTTCAATAATCAAAGGAAAACCAACCCTTGAGACTTCTTTAAAAATTATGCCTACAAAAGGTACCACTGGAGTATTTACAATTGAACCAGTTTTTCTTCAGCAGGTATCACAGAAACTGGGATTAAATGGCATGAAAGGAATGATTTGCCTATTGTCTAATTAATATAATCAGCTAAAGGAAACAATTCTTATATTTTATCATAGCATTTACTGTTTTTGTTTCTCTTAAGTGAATTATAAAGAGCCAATCTCTAAAACAAAAGATTTTTAATTTAAATTAAATAAGAAATGTCTTATTTAATCCAAAGCCATTAAAGAAAGCCATGCACAATTTCCCCTCCGCCCAACACATACACAATCAAACTTACATTTATCTGCCACTGAAACTATTTCAAAAGTCTTTAGTGGAATTAAGGTATAAAGAGATTTTGAGATCTGGTCAAAGTTATCTAAAAACGTTCATTTCTTACTATCAGAAAGAACTATTATACTTTGTTAGTGTTATTATTGCCATCACTACTGACAAAGATTCTCTCTATGAGCACACTCTAGTCAACCTCTACTGAAACTCTCTTCTAAACTAGGTCTTGACTTTTGGAAGTCCACGTTCATCTTTAAATTGTCCAATTTTAGCAAGAATCATGTGGAATCAGCGTAACCAGCATCCCCCACCACTGAAATCTAATCGCCCTTGCTCTCTTGTCAGGTTCCTCATTTTCTACCACCCCTAGGTGTTGTCTGATCACCCTGGCCTGCATTCAGCAAAAATCCCGTTAGGTCACCTCAGCCAGAATTTCATCTCATCCTTGAGGTTTCTTATTAGTAACTTCCTATCCACTGACCCCCACCCTGTTACCTGGCTTCTCACATTCTTTGTATTCAGAGCTGAGCTCGATCTCATTCCCCTAAAACAAAACCTAATTTTTGTAGCCTGCCTGTTTATCTATCTCAAGTCCCCTTGAATAATCTCTCTTCTTTTTTGAGACAGAGTCTCACTCTGTTGCCCAGGCTAGAGCACAGTGCCACGATCTCAGCTCACTGCAACCTCTGCCTCCTGGGTTCAAGCATTCTCCTGCCTCAGCCTTCCGAACAGCTGAGATTGCAAGCACGCGTGACCACCCAGCTAATTTTTGTATTTTTAGTTAAGATGGGGTTTTGCCATGCTGGCCAGGCTGGTCTCGAAATCCCGGCCTCAAGTGATCCACCTGCCTCAGCCTCCCAAAGTGCTGGGATAATAGGTGTGAGCCACTATGCCTGGCTTGAATAAGATCTTTTTACCATATTTAACAAGTATTATCAATAATTTTTAAAAGAACTCTACCATCTGTTATTTGGAAATTTTTGGAGAAAAAAGAAAGGCATTTTCCTGACATACCTTGATTCTTTGCTTTAAAGTGTTTCTTCAGCCACAGTAATTGAAACAAATTTTCACGATAATGCTTAAACGAAAGATTCAATCTTTTGTGGTCCATTGAATTTGTGATGCATGTGATGGCAAGGATAGAATCCTCTGCATTTTATCTGACTCAGCAGACTTGTACCAGATTGCCGAGCCAAGGAAAGCCAGGCTAGCCCTTCGGCAGCAATGAGAAGTCAGAGAACTGCTTCTTGCCCTAAAAAAACACCTGCATGTGCAAATATTTCCAGTCAAGTCTATCCTTAAGCTGTAGGGAGATGGCACAAGACAGAATGACGCACTGGTGATGGCCTCCACTAGCCGAGGAATCTGTGTCAGCCTGTAGAATAAAGTCTTTTCGTGATCATTATCCTAAGGCTTTGAAAATTCACTTAAATCTTCTTTGTAATGTTAAAGAGCTCACAGGGCCTATTGCCTTTGTCATTTTGACCACTTCTAGGCCAGCAAACTGAGAGGCATAAGTGTGCCATGCTGGCAGCTCAGCAGGAGTCACACCCAGGGTGTTCTTGCCAGAGCTTTTGGATGGGAAAGTTAAAGAAAAGAATCAAGTCACGCTCAGAACTCTTTCATCTGAAAATTGTTCTAAGCAAGGTGATGGTTTCCAGTTAATACTCTGAAATTAATATCAGTAAGAGCATCTCTTTCAAAATTAATACTGATATGAACAATAATTCATTGAATTTAGAATAATAATGCATTGCTATTAATGCTTCTGGCCCTTAGCCCAGGAAAATCAAGAAATCAAGCATTTTCCTTAGGACACAGACAATTTTTTTTCCTCTTTGGTTTTCTGTAAATTATCTCATTTGCTGATAATAAGATTAGTTTATGGTAAGCCTTTTTGAGAACATTCATGTTTAATTTCTTAGGTTTTCCTCTTTAACATCTTCTCAAATCTATTGATAGAGGGCATGATACCTAACATTACTAGATTAGGCGTAGGAGGATAATATGAGGTTTGGATGCTGTTCAAACCTGGAGAAAAAAAATATTTTTTGTTTATACTTATATTTTCTAAAGTAGTCTTTAAATTTGATTTTCTTACCACTTCACTGAACTCCTGTCAAAACGCAACAAATCATGGGCTTTGCAATTATACTAACCTGGGTTTAGATCCTGTCACTTAACCATCTTGTGATTTTAGATAAATTACATTATGTAGCAGGCAGTTAGGAAATGCTGACTTCCTTTAAAAATTTTTCCTATCTTGCCTCTAACCTCACTTATTTGCCATAGAAGTACACTTCTTTCTTTATATTTCAAATCCCATTTTCTCATGCATATAAAACAGCATAGCTGCTATCCAGGTGCCCAAAATACAATACATGTGAGAGATACATTACACAAATGTAATATATTTTGAGTTCATTGTGGCTCAATTTTCATCACATTTAAAGAATCACAGTTCATAAATATATATTCCCCATATCCAGAGCTTGATTTTGACTACTCCACTTCCAGGGCCGTGTTTCTCAACCAGTGGCAGAAGTACCTCTTTGGAGATATTTACAAATACATATAAATGGTTTCACTTTTCATGATGAAGAGCATTTCCAGCATTTAGTAAGTGGCTGGCACCAGAGATACTAAACATCCTGCAATGTGTGGGACAGTCCTACATGTTGAAGAACAGTTTTCCTAATACCAACAGCACTCTTTGGGATAAATATTATTCCAGAGGATACTCTAGAAAGAACATTCTTAATGCATAATCTTTAAAATCCCTCCCCCCGTCACTAATTTCTACAAAAATCCCTCACGAAATCTCTGAAAGCCACAGTGCTTTTGTCTCTCTCTTCCCTCCCCACCTCTGGCTCATTCACTTATTTCCCACTTCCACTTAGCCTGTCTGATTTCTTGGTTTCTTACATTATCTCTGAATTTTCCTTTTTTCTTTAATAGACCTCTAGAGATAGCTTGGCAAGCAAAAAGTTTTGATTTCAAGAAGCTAGAAGAAGGAAGAGGGGAGAATTTGAGAACTCATCCATTAATAATGCTGATTCCTATTTGACATGTAGAAGAGGCATTGCTACTGCAGCCAGCACCTACAGTCCCAAGGAGTATAAAAGAGACAGTGTCAAAGGGCCAGGGATGTGGACAGCATGCCTGTCCCGTCAACACTTTCACGTGCAGGTTCCCCGAGGCAGGCCAAGGACACAGACATTGATGACAACCATTTCCAAAGCTGACTTTGTGAAGAGACACTTAGGTTAAGTGTCGTCAGAAATCTGTGTATCATCTCTCTTCTGAGTTGGCATTATCTGAGATATATATACATATATATATATGAGAAATATATAGATACATATATATATAATTTTATGTATATATCCTGTTTATGGTAATGATTGTGTTATCCATGACAATATTGTCTTTAGTTGTAAATGTTCATGGTATATAGGTATAAGAAATATTATGTTCTTAGGGTGTAAAATATTTGATAAAATAAGGGCATGTATTTATGAGGATAAATTTTTCCTCTGAATAGGAATAAAGTCATAACAGTGTTATAAACTATTAAATAACTTTTATTACATAAAAAGAGAGAACATCAATGACAGAAGAAAAGAGGATTCATTTGATAATTCCAGTTGGTAACAGGAATCTTTGCAATTGCATATCTCAATATGATATTCATATGGGTCTCTGAATCTGTAAATTGACCAGATAAGAACTTTGTAGTTCAAAAGAAGTGTAAGAAAAGCAAATATTCCTGTATTTACCTATTCATTCTGACCTTGACTAATAGCTACAAATTATGACACAAAGGAGGGAATACATTATCTATGTGAGAGCAAGTTCAAAAAGTAAGAGCCACCGCCCAAATATTTGTAAATTTTGTTTTAAAAT
Organism: Homo sapiens; assembly: GCF_000001405.40. Classification (NCBI taxonomy): domain Eukaryota; kingdom Metazoa; phylum Chordata; class Mammalia; order Primates; family Hominidae; genus Homo; species Homo sapiens. Next base: position 86,926,849 of record NC_000005.10, on the reverse strand, counting down.
TTTTTCTGGCTCATGAATTTAACCTTAATAATCACAGCTTACATTTGAAAAGAAAACAAAAATTCTATTTCAAACATAGGGATGTCAGAATATCCCAGTGTAAGAAATGTCATAAACATATCACATTCTTATTTTACTTCTGTGTGATTTATTTTAAGAATAATTCAAATAGAAGGAGAATGGAAAGAATGGAAATTATATTTATAAAATAGAAAAAAAATCCATAGGGAATGAAGTAGCTCTATTAAGTATCAGAAAAACTATAGTGTCTTAGGCTTCAAATTTATTGTTTCACCAAACAGTATTTTGAGGTGGGAAAAAGTATCTCCAGTTTGCAAGAACATTGAATTTTTACTTTAAAGAGAATGCTTGTGAGAGTCAATTGGGATATTGCTATACTTGAATGGCCAATGTTCATACACGGTTGTTGGTTAAAGAAGAATAACAGGAATTCTGTATTAAGAAAAAGCTCACAACAGGCAGGTCAAGAATTATACTCAATTCAAAACATCTGAAACCATATGTATTTTAAATTATTCTTCTGGCTAAGGGGGATCTCTAGATGACTTATTCATCCTAGTCATCATACCTTCACCAAGGCTGCATTCCTAAAGAATACAACAGTTGTTGAATATTCTGTAACTCTACATATTTGGCTGAACTTTGTGCATGAAGTTGAGATGAGGCAAACATTCATTCTGTGAGGGTGAACTTAATAATGTTTCATTGGCATTATACATCATAATTCTATTATTTCCCTCCTTCAAAAATCCAAAAGTAGTACAGTTTTGCAGCCTCTTGATATTGATATTGATATTCAATTCCATGTATCTGATCAGTAGCAGAGCTTCCCAAGTAAGTCTAACTCAAAAATCTTGTGATCTTTTCACTCTGCCCTGTGATGGGCAGAGCACTTCTTTATTCTGGAGCTTATTAACCTTTAAAAGCCTTTATCTAACTTAAAGGATTTTGCTCTCTGGCTTTCTATTGCCTTTTTTGTTTGTTAAAAAAAGCAAGCTAAAATTTAGATATAAAATTAAAGCAATAATTTCAGGCACTAGATTTTTTTTTTAGCCCTGGATTTATGAACTCAGTATGGGATTTACAGTAATATATTTCTTGGGCAATTGTATAAGGAGTCTACAGAATATTCTGTTTATATAATTTTTTAAACAGAATTAGAATAGTATTCTTTAAATCAGTTCATTTGAAAGAAAAACTTAAAGGCTAACAGATAAGAATTCATAAATTTCCTTTTTTATATTAAATAATTATAAATATTACTGTTTTTCTTTTAGAAAAGTGACATATTTTCTTTTTCCCCTCAACTCCAACTCCCTCATAAATATTTGAAGAGATTTCTTTGGAAAATACTAACATTTGAGGAAATAACTTCTGAAAATAATTTTCCCAAATATGGCTATTTTCATTAATACAACTTTTAAATCCCTGATGTGAAGCATTGCCAAGTCCTTTGAGTTTAGCTTAAAACTCAAAGGACTCCTTTATGAGGGACTTTTCAGAAATTTAATGTGTAGTGTGACTCTGTAGGAGGAAGATTTAGATGGAGTGTATGTCCAAATTATTTTTATTACTATTAGTTGTAACAGTAGTAGTAACACACCTTCATATCCTCAATACCAGCTTTAGGAATGCTGGCATAACTATGTAACTTGAAGTGTGAGCATGTGCATACAACACACACGTGCGTGCACACACACACACCACCACCACCACCACCAAGAAACAAACATACTCCTTGTGAAATAAACTGACCTATTTTTAAGAAAAAAGTCAAGATAAAATTTTAATTCTGATAGATATGCTAACAGAAACCTGTCAGTTACTGAAAATCAGGTTATTATCAACTTTTACTAAGTATATCACTATATGTAAAATATGATATTGTATAATTTGAAGAACACAAAGAGTTATAATATCTGTTCTTTATTAGAAATTTAAATCAAGTGAAAAAAAGAACAGAACATATATACATTTACAAAAAAATATTAAAAAGTCAGTACATAAGTGTCAAATAGTACAGAAATCAGAGAGCAGATTGAGAAGTTCTTGTGGGCTCTGGTGGTCAGTAAAGCTTTACAGAAACATAGAGTTTAAGCTGGACTTTGAAGATTTGTAGAAATTATATGAGTGAAGATGTGGGTAAAACGTTCCAAGTAGGGAGACAGCACATACTAAATGATAAAGTGATGACAATGTTAAGTTTGTTTGGAAAATGAATATGACTGTATTGGAAGCTCTCTTTCAAAGAGTAGAAATGAAGTAGAAAAGATGGTGAGCACTGGAAACCAGAGTTGGGCATTTAGACTTTATCTAATCCAAGAAATATTTGCAAATATTTTAGGAAAATTTATTTGGAAACTATGTATAGTATAATTTGAAATGTGGCAAGGATGGGGGAAAGGAAAAAGGGGAACATAAGTAAGTGGCATAAAGTAAACAAGACTACTTTATGCATTTGTACAGGTTGTGCACTGAACGTTTCTGGGGTATCATTATATAAACTATAATCTGCACGTCTGTGTATAGTGACTTTGCAGATAAAAGAGAGATAAAGTAAATGGTAGCAAAATGAAGGACAGAGAGTGAAGAAAGTTATGCAAGAAAAGGTTTGAATTAGTGCAGCAAGTTAGTGCCCTGATTAGGGAGGTCAAATTATTTTTCATAAAAAGGAAGATCTATGCATGTTTGAAGTTCAAAGAGAAGAAGGCAATGGTAGAATGATTAAAAAGATGTACTTGAAAGAACTGGTTTCTAAAGAGGTTGTGATAGAAAGCCCAGACAGAGGATCTGGTCTTTGATAACATTTGGGTACTTTTTTCTTTGAAGGAAGGAAGCAAAGATGGACATAGATCATTCCATTATTATTTCCCCAGAGAACCACTACAGACAGACAGGGGTGTCTAGCAAACCTATGGAATCCATTATAGAAAAGTCAGGCAACTTCAACTCACCAACTGCTGCTGTTCTTCCACCTGGGAAGATTGAGAAAATGATTTTCATATAATCTTGGGGCTAAGTTGTTGTGCAAGTTAAAAGGGTGAATTTAAATATCTTGTATTTTAGGGTGAATAAAAAAAGGCCAGTGCAGTCTCTAGCAAATACAGCTCTTTAATGAAATCTCCAGAGGAAGAAGAGAGGTGAGTCATCCATTTTACTCAATAAAGTACTCAAGCAACTTGTTGATTTTATAGTAATCTTGTGATTTTAGGTCCGTTAACTCTATGACATATTTAATTATACAACTTACATTTCATAAATTAATTAAGGCTATATTATAAATCAATAAATATCTAATTAACATAATGAAAATATGATGCTGGAATTTAGAGGCTACATAGACTTAGAAGGTTTGTTCATTATCCTCAAAGAGCACACTATACAGTTGGAAAGACAACATACACGTGCACACACAACACAGGCAAACAAAAATAGATACAATGAAAAGCCAGCATAAAATACCACTGTTGCAAAAGCTAACAAGAATTATGGGAACTCAGAGGAGAAAGTAAGTGATCAATGCAAAACAAGACTTTGTAGAAAAATGTGGCTGTCCTGTACCCTGAAAGGCGGGTAGTGATACCTATTAACGAGTTTAATTTAAAGGTCTACTCTAGTTTCAGAATAAAGGAGCCAAATAATCCTTAGTATATTTAATATAATTTGTAGTGCATATTATAAGTTCTGTTTTATTCATAATTACATTATCTTTTGGATTGCTATATGCTTTAAAAATACTTATTTTTTCTAAAAGTATGCAAAGTTATGGTAGGAATTCTGGAAAATACAATATAGGTATCCTTTTTTGTATTTTCCAGAATTCGTTCATATATGTATATATATGGAGATATATATATATATCTCCACATTGTTCTGTGGTTAACTTGGTTAAGATCTTCCACCCATAGAAATCAGATGCCAGCAATTTCTGAGAATTTCATCGCACTCAAGAGTACATAATGATTGCAAGATAAATCAGTGTCTTAGAAACCTGAAAAACTCTGAAAAAGAACATCTAATGTGACCTGCGGGGGTGCAGAGGGAGGGTTTGACCATGTGTTTATAACCAAGAAAAATCAATTCATCTTTGAGCATCACTTATAACAAAGAGAGGGAATTCATATCTAAGAGGCCTTTTAACTCTAATAAGGGAAATGTATGAAGTGCTCCTCAGATTTAAGTTTGAAAATAAGTTCTGAGTGGCATAAATGCCCACTTATTTACAGAAAAACTTAAATTTTAGAAGAGAAACATTTACTGATTCACTATGAAAGCCGACAGTCATTTCTATTTCTTGTCATACTTGTGGGGAAAACTGTGATTTGCTCAATACGGAGGTACAAAGATGAATTTGCAGGTACTGAACTCGGACAGTGGATCTTCCAATGAAAGAAGCTAGTCAAGAGGTACAAGATAGACTCAGATAAAGGTTAAATTAAAATACTCAAACCTGCCAAAGACTCATAAGAGGAAAGATATATGGTAATATTCTAGTAGTATTTACCTCTGGTGAGATCATATCTTCACCTATACTAGCGTGAATTTTATATATATAGAATATACTATAATATATAACATACACACTATATTGTATATAATATACTATAATATATAATATACATATTACATTATGTATAATATATGGTATATATATTAGTAGAGTATATACTATAGTATACAATATATAGCATATATATTACTATAGTATATACTATATTGTATAATATATGGTATATATATTACTATATTATATACTATAGTATATAATATATAGTATATGTAGTACTATAGTATATAGTAAGTATGATATATACTATAGCACATAATATATAGTATATATTATATAGTATAAACTATATAATATATACTATCTATAAGTATGGTATATACTATATATAGTATATAATATATAGTACGTATAAGTATAGTATATACTATAGATAGTATATAATATATAGTATGTATAAGTATAGTATATACTATATATAGTACATAATATATAGCATATATAAGTATAGCATATACTACATATAGCATATAATATATAGTATATACAATATATAGCATATAATATATAGTATATACAATATATAGCATATAATATATAGTATATACTATATATAGCATATAATATATAGTATATACTACATATAGCATATAATATATAGTATATACTACACATAGCATATGCTATACATAGTATATACTACATATAGCATATGCTATATGTAGTATATAATACATATAGCATATAACATAGTATATACTATATATAGCATATAATATATAGTATATATAAGTGTAGCATATACTATAGTATATAATATTTAGCTTATATATTAGTATAGTATATACTATAGCACATAATATATAGTACATATAGTATAGTATACACTATATACAGTATATAATATATAGTATATATTAGTATAGTATATACTACAAAGAGTATGTAATATAAACTATATACTATATATAGTATATAATATATAGTATATATAACTATAGTATACACTATATATAGTATATTATATATAGTATATACTATATATAGTATATTATATATGGTATATGCTATATAATATATTATATATAGTATATGCTATATAGTATACTATATAGCATATACTATATATAGTATATTATATATAGTATATATATTAGTATGGTATATACTATAGTATATAATTGCTAGTATATATAAGTATAGTATATACTATAGCACATAATATATAGTATATATACAATAGTATATACTATATACAGTATATAACATATAGCATATATAAGTGTAGTATATACTATACATAGTATATACTATACAGTATAAACTATACATAGTATATAATATATGGTATATATTGGTATAGTATATAATATAGCACATAATATATAGTATATAGTATATACTCTATATACTGTATATACTCTATATACTATATACTATATACTATATATACTATAGAGTATATACTATATAAACTATATATACTATAGAGTATATACTATATATACTATATATACTATATATATACTATATATACCACATATACTATATATTATGTATACTATATTATATATACAATATTGTATATATATTGTATATATAGAATATATAATATTGTATATATACTATCTATAATATACATATTATAGATAGTATATATACTATATATATTATATATACACTATCTATGATGTATACTATATATTATGTATACTGTATTAATATGTATATATACTATATATTATGTATACTATATACACTATGTATACTATATTAATATATACTATATATTATATACTATATATAGTATATACCATACTAATATATATACCATATATTATATTCTATATAGTATATACTATACTATATAGCATATACTCTATAGTATATACTATATATACTATAGAGTATATACTATATATACTATAGAGTATATACTATATATAATATACTATGGAGTATATACTATATAGTATAGTATATACTATATATTATATAATATATGGTATATATATTAGTATGGTATATACTATCTATAGTATATAATATATATAGTATATATTAATATAGTATAGATAGTATATATAGTATACATAATATATAGTATATATAGTAGTATAGTATATACTATATATTATATAATATATAGTATATACTATATATATTTTCTGGAAAATGCAAAAAGGATATATATATCCTTTTATATATATCCTTTTATATATATATCCTTTTCTGTATTTTCCAGAAAAAATATATATTATGTATACTATATATTATAAAATATATATAGTATATATATAAAATACTAATATATGTATACTATATTATATATACACTATAGTATATATATACTAATATATACATATTAGTATATATACTGATATATACTATATTTAGTATATGTATACTGATATATACTATATTTAGTATATATACTATATATACTATCTATACTTATATATTTAGTATATATATACTATATATAGTATGTACTAAATATATAAGTATAGATAGTATGTATAGTATATAAAGTAAATATATAAGTATATATACTATATATGCTAAATATAGTATATATAGTATATTACTATATTTATAATATATAGTAATTTATATTTACTATATATTTAATTCATATAATTACTATATATTTAATATATTATGTTAAATATATAGTATTATATATTATATATTATTATATATATTTTATATATAATTATATATAAATATGTAGTATTATATATAATATGATACTATATACTTAATTAATATTACTATATTTATAATATATAGTATTATAGTAATATGTAATGTATAGTATATTTACTATATTTAGTATATATAGTATATATACTATATATACTATATAATAGTATGTGTTTAGTATATATATTTAGTATATATATAGTTTATATATACTATATTTTATATATATACAAAATATAGTATATATAAACTATATATATATAAAATATAGTATATATAAACTATATATATAAAATATGTATATATACTATATAGTTTATATATAGTATGTATATATAGTTTATATATACTACATATTTAGTATAGTATATATAGTATACTATATATACTAAATATATGTATATATACTATATATACTACATATACTAAATATTTATGTATATATACTATATATACTACATATACTAAATATATAAGTATATATACTATATATACTAAATATATAATTATATATACTATACATAGTATATATATTATATGTACTAAATATACATAAATATATAAATTAATATAATATATTTATATATATTAATTTATATATAATATATATAATATTTATATATTTATATTAGTATATATAGTATAAATCCTATATAATATATATACTATATATACTTATATATACTTTTATATATACTTATATATTTATATATTTAGTATATATAGTATATATACTATATATGCTATATATGCTACATATATAAGTATATATAGTATATATAGTACATATAATTCATATGTATATTATATGTACCATATATACTAAATATATAAGTAAATATAGTATATATAACATAAAGTAAATATAGTATATATATTATACATGCTCTATAGTATATATATATATTATATATATATAAAATACACACAAATATAGGTTAAGATATGATCTCACCAGAGATAAACACTACCAGAATATTACTATATATCTTTCCTCTTATGACCCCGCAGGTCACATTAGATGTTCTTTTTCAGAGTTTTTCAGATTTCTAAGACATTGATTTATCCCGCAGTCATTATGCACTATTGAGTGGGATGAAATTCTCAGAAATTGCTGGCATCTGATTTCTATGGGCGGAAGATCTTAACCAAGTTAACCACAGAACGATGTGTTCTGGAAGAAATGTCTGTGACTTTTGTTTCCCATATTATTGCTTCTCTGAAAGTTCATGAGAACTGCTTAAGAGTGTTCTTTTAATCACTTTGAAGAGTCATAAACAGGATTTTGAATATACAGAATTAGACTTGCCAATAACTGAAAATTGTTTCTGGGAGTCAACTTGTTTTTTCAAGTTTTAGAGAAAAGGACTAAAAAATAGTAATGAACCACAGGAATCTTTGCCAAATGGCTCAGGTTTATGAGAGCTTACTGCATCTATTAATGGAGGTTGCAAAGGAGCACAATGGTTACGGTTACAATTCTTTATTCCTCTAAATTTTACCTTTAAAATGCACGTATAAACAGCATTTTTATTGGAAAGAATAATACGTGTACATGGTAAAAACTCAAACAGTTCAATAGATCTTCTTCCTAGAGGCTATTACCAGTTTCTTATTTAACCTTCCAGTAATATTATTTTCACATAAAAGCATATTAATCTTTTTCCATTGGTAGAAATACACTGTTCACACTACTCTGCAGCACTTCTCTTTTGTTTTCCATCTTTAAAAATTATCTTAATAGCATATTTTGGAAATTATTCTATATCATTGTGTGTATGTTGTTATATTTCATTATGACATACTATTTCTTTATATAGATATACTACAATTTATATATTTATTTTCCCATAGATGAAGATTCAAGTTTTTTGGAATATTTATATTTTAAACAATCTTCTAACAAATATCTTTGTACATCCTTATCTTCTCATCCTTGCCTATTCATCCTAACATAATAGCTATAAGATAATGTCTTAGGTGGGCATTGTGGTTCATGCCTGTAGTTGGAGCTAATGGGAGGCTGAGGTGGGAGGATCACTTGAGTCTAAGAGGTTGAGGCTGTGGTGAGCTGTGACTGAGCAACTACACTCCAGCCTGAGTTACAGAGTGAAGGCCTGTCTCAAAAAAAAAAAAAAAAAAAAAAAGACAATTCTTGTAGATGCTACACAGAAAGAGGACTAAGACACAAATTCACAACTGATGTGAAGATAAAAAGTTTTTGTGGTTTATCTCTAGACCACAGAAACTGAGTTTAGCAAAACTAGTAACATCACTTGGATGATCAGAATATTGTGCTTGATGGGAAAGGGCCAGTTGGATGGTTGAGTTATAGGATAAAACGCCTTAAAGGAAAAAGCTTTGGATTTAGTTCCAGTGCTTATGTATCTTGGGAGCTATCCAGAGTGCTGAAGAGCCACCACAGGAAACAGTCTGTTCCAGAGGACGAGAAATCTCAGTCTCCTGATTTTATGTCTCTCCTGCCTTGAATCTTGCCCTTGGCATTTTTAACACTACTAAAGTCAGTGATCACCCCTCAGCCTCTTTTTTCCCTGTCCTTAACTCACCTCTTCCTCCTTTCTGCCTCAATACAAGTCTATTATGCCTGCTTTCTCTACCAACTCCAACTGTGACCTATCCCCACCATTTGATGCTAGGATACTAAGAGAAATAATTTAAAAATACAGTAGCATCACTTGAATTTGACTGGTTCCTGATAATGGTCTCAGCTTACATAGCTATGCACAAATATTCCAATAACATATCAAATACAGTTCTGTTTCATCAGAGTAAAATCTACATATCTGGCAGTTTAAAGGTGTATCAGGAGTTAATTATCAGAGTATTATGGAATTTACTATTGCTGATTTTTGCTTTCCTTCCTACAATAAAGAATAAACTTCCCAGCATAATGAAATGACTTATTTATTCATGTAAATAATAGTTGTTTGCATATTTATTTTGAAGTCAAGCTCTCAATTTTTTTGTATTGCTGAGCATGACAACGAATAACCTCAAAAAGCCAATATGGTCAGTTCTATTTTCTCAGTTTTGATATTCGAACCACTCAATACACTGAAGATTCGTGTGGAAATATCAGAATATCTAGAGTTTTGCAGTTGATAAAATGTCAGAGAAGATTTTATTTTTTAGTCATATTCCTGAAAATCTCACTAAAGGACTCAGGTTACAGAGGATAGGTCAAGGGTAGGGTCTGATATAATTGTCCCAAGGAGAGAAATGAATTTAAAAATTGGCTTAAAGAAAAGGAAGTTATGGGCCCATATATCCCAACAGTCTAATGGTGTAGCTTGATTCATGGATCTCAAACACCCATTAGCATCCAGCTTCTCGCTTTATTTTTGGCTTTATTTTGGCGCATTTGTGTTAACTTCAATCTCAAATATATGATCTCTGGATGGTAGCAATGTGAATGCAGAAGTTTCAACACTACATCCTCCCAAATTCAAATTCAAATTCAAATTTAATGAATCCCTTTCCCCATGACTCTAGCAAAAATTCTCACTGTTCTGATTAGCTTTGCTTTTAGTCATATTGCCTATCTTGAAACAATCACAGTAGCCAGAGGCATGGAATTTATTGATAGTGTTAGGCCTAGGTCATGCTTCTACCTTGAAGCTGGTGAGAAAGGTCAATTAGCCCATTTATAGGAAGTTCATGAAAATCATATCAAAAAACAGAAGGGCCAATAACAGAAGGAAATACAAAACAGAAACAGAATCAAATTTACACTACATTGTAGGTCTTAGGAAATATCCTGAGGTGGAAACTAAGGAGTAATAATTATTTCATAATAATATTAATAAATGACATTTATTAATGGTTTTTATGTGGATTGTAGTAATTGATCTTAATATGAACCCTATATGTAGGTAATATTACCATTTTTATACAAATGAAGAACTTATATCTTTGTTTTATTCTTTCCATCTCTTAAATTATATGATTTTTTAAAGGGTAAATACTGCTGGTCCTCTGTTCATAAAAACTTGTAAACCTTGAGCCTGAGAATTGACATTGTACTTGCCCAAAATAGGTATGAAAACCTAGCTTCTTCCAAACTTATTATATAACTCTTTCAGAATGCACAGCTTATAAATAGTGATACTTCCGTCCTCTCCCCCTAAGAGTACTCCTTCCCTATTCTGTTCCACAAATGGGGTGGTTGGACAGTGGCTAAGCAAAATTGGCAAATTAAATCATCCACCTAAATTCATCTGTGACTGTATTTATTAATGATCAAAGTAACAACCTATAAAGAATTCATTTTCAGGATATGTAACATTTTGTTTATAATGTTTCCCAAGATTGCTTTTCTTTCAAGTTGCCACTGGAAAGCAGGAAGACTCAATTCCTGCATTTGTTTCTTTGGACGGTCGGTGCAAACAGTAAATTACTTTGTATTACTTGTCTGTTCTCTATTGTCATTCATTTGTTCCTACTGCCCTTTTCTCATTTTGTTCTTGATACAATCTTGCTAACCATTATCTTCTTACTGTAGTTTCATACCACATTCAACAGATACTTATGTATGCTGCATCAGAAAATTCTTATTTTGGCTTCATATAACAGTGGTAATATTTGCAAGGTTGCTGGTGATCCAAAGTTTTCTTACATTTTTCTCTTATTATACGGTATCATAATGCTTATCACTCATATTTATCAACTTCTTACTTTGTCAGATATCATGTTAAATAACATATCTACAAGAAACTCAAAACACTGATTTTATTTACTTGGGGAAAATGAATAAAAACCTAATACTATACTAGTGATTAATAATTATAATTCTTATTTTTTCTTTTGAATTATATATTATATATATATAAAATTAAACATATGTTTTATTTTTATGGGTACATAATAAATGTATTTATGGGGTACATGAGATTTTTTGATTTAGACATGCAATGTGAAATAATCATATCAAGGTAAATGGGGTATCCATCACCTCAAACATTTATCATTTCTTTATGTTGCAAACATCCCAATTATACTGTTGGAGTTATTTAAAAATGTACAAAGATAAATTATTGTTGACTGTAGTTATCCTGTTGCGCTATCAGATACTACATCTTATTCATTCTATCTAACTACATTTTTGGACCCATTAACTTTCCCCACTTCTCACCCCTCTCCCAACTACCCTTCCCAGCCTCTGGTAACCGTCACTCTACTCTCTATCTCCAAGAGTTCAAATGTTTTAATTTTTAGCTCCCATAAATGAGCAAGAATATGGAAAGTGTGTCTTTCAGTGCCTGGCTTATTTCACCTAACATATTGTCCTCAAGTTCTGCCCATGTTGTTGTAAATGATAGGATCTCATTCTTTTTCTTATGGCTGAATAGTACTCCATTGTGTATTATGTACCACCCTTTCTTTATCCATTCATCTGTTGATGGACACTTAGGTTGCTTCCAAATCTTGGCTATTGTGAATAATGCTGCAACAAACATGGGATACAACTACCTCTTTGATACACTGATTTCCTTTCCTTTGGGTGTTTACCTAGGAGTGGGATTGCTGGATCATACAGTAGTTCTATTTTTAGTTTTTTGAGAAACCTTCATACTCTTCTCCATAGTGACTGTGCTAATTTACATTCCCACTAACAGTGTATGAAGGTTCCCTTTTCTCCATATCCTTGCCAGCATTTTTTATTGCCTGTATTTTGGATAAAAGCCACTTCTTTAACTGTAGGAAGGTGATATCTCATTGTAGTCTTAATTTGCATTTCTCTCATCAGTGATGTTGAGCACCTTTTCGTTTACTGTTTGCCATTTTCTTTTTTTTTTTTTTTCTTTTGAGACAGAGTCTTGCTCTGTCGCCAGGCTGGAGTGCAGTGGCACGATCTTGGCTCACTGCAACTTGAACCTCCTGGGTTCAAGCGATTCTCCTGCCTCAGCCTCCCGAGTAGCTGTGACTACAGGCACGCACCACCATGCCCAGCTAATTTTTCTATTTTTAGTAGAGATGGGGTTTCACCGTGTTGGCCAGGATGGTCTCAATCTCTTGAACTCATGATCTGCCCGCCTCGGCCTCCCAAAATGCTGGAATTACAGGCATGAGCCACCATGCCTGGCCCTCCTGTTTGCCATTTTCAAAGCTTTGACTGCAATTTGACTTCAACCCTTCCCATCAGGTCAGGGGTAGAATTTTCTACTTGCAGCGGCATGTCGACACTGAGGATGTTTTGGGTTTGGAGCAATTTGGACTTTGGGTTTTTGAATTAGGGATGCTTATCTTGTAATATTATTGATTGTATTTTATTTTCTACATTTTCTTTTAATATTCCACTACTGATAGTTTGATATTTTCATATGGGTTTTATTTTTTAATCATCTTCTTCCTTATCCTGTTTATTTTTATAAAAATGGGATCATACATATGCCTATTAATTTTCTTCACATAATGAATATCCTATCAAATCAATAAACATAGTTCAGATGTACTTGTGTATGTGTTTATATTCTTATATAATGTGACTTTTTTTTCTAGAATTGATCTGTAACATGGAATCACTGGGTTGAATTGTATGTGGATCTTAAATGTATATGGTACCATTTAGTTTCCTCAAAAGCCATAAAACCTCATATTCTCATAAGCATCATATGAGAGCTACACTGCATTTTGAAACTGTCTTTCTTTACTAACTATAGTAATGAGTACCTGACATTAACAGTTTCAAAAGCAGCAGGAGACATCCTTAGATTCAGATAGGCCAGGGTGGTACTTTTGTTAAAATTGATGAACTTGCAGTGACACATAATTGTCACCCAAAGTCCATTGTTTACATTAGGGTTCATTCTTCCTGTTGTGCATTCTATGGGTTTTTGCAAGTCTATAACATGTATCCACAATTATAGTATCATAAAGAATATTATAATATCACTTCCCTAAAGTACCTGTGTGCCTCTTCATCCTCTCTCCCTACTAACTCTTGGCAGGCAGCCATGGATCCTTTACTGTTTCCACAGTTTTATCTTTTCTAAAATGTCATTTAGTTGAAATTTTGCAGCATGTAGCACTTTCAGATTCACTTCTTTCACCTAGTAATATGCACTTAAGATTCCTCCATGTCTTTTCATGACTTGATAACTTGTTTCTTTTTTAGCACTGAATAATATTCCATTATCTGAATGTATCATTATTTACTTATTCATTAACCTACTGGCTAACATCTTGGTAGCCTCTAAGTGTGGCAATTATGAATAAAGCTTCTATAAACATCCACGTGCACATTTTTGTGTAGACTTATGTTTTTTATACATGTGGAATAACATGCTACATATTCCAAAGACAAAGCTAAACCTAGGGTGATTTATAATTTATTATAAAAACTAGGACAATTTTGAGAGTAAAAGGAGGTGCTGCTAATAATTATAAGGAGATGTTGCAAATTGGGACTGTTCCATGCAAATAAAAAGAGTCATCCTACTTATAATTCATGTAAAGTCACATAAATATGCAATTACCCTATGCAATTATTAGGACCACTAAATTCTAGTTTATATGAGTATTTCAGATAATCAATATCTGAATTTGAGAATTGGTGAGAAACTTAGATATCATCCAAGTTGAATTAGCTACATTTATAGAAGAAAAATCTGAGGCTAGCATAAGAAAAATGACATGTTTATTGTCACACAATTCCTTGGCACTAGAATTATTTATAGAACCCAGGTAATGGAATTTCAGCCCAGAATTACTTCTATTATAAGAATTCTAAAAGTAGTACAAATACTACAAAAATACTAGTATCTTTCTAGCCAAAGTCAGAATTTCTTGCCTTTAGATAAATGGTATTTCCACATCAGAGATTAGGTATAAGGTTTTCCTCAACAAGTTAAAAAATCGATCAGAACAAGTTTGATTGCATATCTGAGCATGAAAAGAGGACACCTGGATTTTTATAATAAACTATCCATTCTTTCATTAAGCTTATATTGTATTGCTTGCACATGAAGATTAACCACTAGTTCAACAGCACAATCTAATAAGTGTAAGTGGCAGATTCATCTGGTTCCTGCAGAGACAGATAATATATATTTATGATATTATGTACTCAAAGTATTACAAAAACATACAAGCTAGGTGCTATGAAGACCTGGAACTCTTCAAAACACACTGACTATAGCTCACTCAGGATCAGCCTAAGGAAGCCTCCAATCAGAAGGCTAAGGCATGAGGTGCCCAGAGTGTGAGTGATTTATTCTGGGCCCTAAAAGTCAGAGTAAGGAATAAAAAATTTTGATGGACAGGTATGCTGCAATTTTAAGTGTGTTAATTGGCGTAGGCCTCTTGAGAAGGGCACATTGTGGTAGGACTGGATAGAGGATGCAAGATAAGGGAGAGAATGGAGGATTCAGGAAATTCCTTGAGTCCTATCATTTCATTTTGTGGTTAAGAGTATGGGTCCTAGAATCAGACTGCCTGGATTTGAAATCTGAATCCACTGCTTATTGACTGCATATTTTTGAAAGTTACTTAAGCTTTGTGCTTTGTTGTCCTCACCTATGAAGTGGTAATAATAATTGGTCTTATCTTTAAAAGTTGTATAAATGAGATAATGCTTTAAAGCATGCTTGGAATTGTGCTTAATATGTACAAAGTATAGAATAGACATTAGATATTATTATTATTGTCTTTACGATCAGTCTCAGACAAGCTGTATGCCAGGGACCAGGACTATGAAAGCTGGCATTTCGGCTGCTTTCTCAGTTTAACAGCCTAAAATACAACATGATGTCCATCACTATTTCTACTGTAGGAACACAAGGCATGCATAAGGTCAAAGGCTATTTTCCACTTCTTCTAAACTTCTGAGAAGTTGCTAAAGTGAGAGAAAAATATTATTCTCTGTATTTGTCACACATCAGCTCACAGACCCAGAAAAAAAGAGTGTTTATTTATGCCAAGGATATTCTTGTGACATAGCTACTCTTAGACATAAAAATGTCCTTGATATCTGAATCTAGACATCTTCACATCTATATAGTAACCCAAATAATTTCTTGTGCAAAGTTGCATATTATTATATATAAATGTCAAATGATTTAATCATTGAAAGGTTACAAAGAAGGGAAAAATGGAAAGAAACCTGAGATTGAAAAAAAATAAAACTAAACAAGGAAAAAGGCAGGCAAAGCATGATTTGGGTTAATTTTAAAAGTGTATTAAGATGAATGGAAATTATCAGCAAGAGAAAGTGGATCCATCTGGAAAGAAGGAACTGAGAGATGTTAGCTTAAAACAAGAAGAATGCCTGGAGTGAGGAGGGAATGTAGCAGAACTATAGAGAGATAACAGAAGAGAAAGAGGCAAAATAAGAGGAAGATAAGAAGATGGAAAACAGGTATGAGAGGCAGTCACAGAATTTTATAGGAAGATAAAAACAGTAGTTTGGCACAACTGGATTTTTGGCAGCCTGAAAACAGTCTCAGATAACAACAGGCATGACAAGCATGAAGCTGCAATTAATGTCTGCTCACAGACTATTTGTGACTCACTGATGCAGCCATTTCACAAGAGATTTGAAAAACAGTCTGAGAGAATACTGAGAATATTGTACACATGGGAGTTTTGATGGCTCATCATGATTATTTACTTTTTGCTATAACATATAAAACGATTCTAAACTGTGGCGATGATGTTCTTTCAAGTTTTTGTGTAAATTGTTTTATTTTATATGAAAAGCACATCAGATCAGAAATGTGGGGAAGAGATGCTTCTCAGCATTTAGTTTTATATCCCTGAAGCTAATTCCACTTCCATGCCAAGTAGATGTTGGAATTTTTCCGTTGACTATTACACAAATTTCAAAGAGCCAAACTATTGAGTCAGAGGATAGTTTATGGCCCATTAACAATACATTTGCTCCTCAGAACTGTAAACACGGCCTTATGGATCTTAATGTAATTGTTTAGGATGAGTGTGTTGGCAAGAACTGTTGGAATCTGTTAACATAGTCTGGAAAGCAACGTGTTTTAAGCAAATTTGCAAAATGTTACCAACTCATTAAGCTAAGAGCTTTATGACTCAGTGTTCTAAAGCAATTCTGTGAGGTACTTCCCAACAAGGCTACATATCCATTTCTGGTTCTGCCATGATTGATGTGTATATAGAGGGGACTGACTACGTTCCTCATTGCACTATGCTGATGATGTTTCATCATATTGTTGATTTTTTTCTCAACATTCTTCTTACATTCTGTTATATAATTAAAGAGTACAGAGAGTCATCTATACACATTCTATGGAATAGGTTTTGCTGTATTTAAATGTAGTATGGAAAATGCAAAGATGCTTCCAAAGCTATGTTTCATAGATATAGTATTAATGCCAATAGATTCCAACTCTCCTGCTTGTTCTTTTAAAAATTCAATCTGCCATAGACACTTGGGATTGGAAGAGACTTTAGATATCATGTAGTCCAACCTTGTATTTACTGAGGCAAAACTTTCTATAGAAATCCTGTTGGATGGACTAAAATCCTGTACATTTCAAGTGGGGCAGCCTTGATTCAGTTAGAACATTTTCAGTTACAAATGAAAGAAACACAACTTAAATATGGTGATTGGCTCCCAAGACTGAAAAATTCAGCAGTGTCATTCATTTGCAGGATGGATGGTTTAAAAATCTCAAGTTATGTCACCATCTCTCTTTACCTCTTAATCATGTTTTTTATTTATTTACTTGTTTTATTTTTTATTTTTCAGATGACTTTCCTCCCAATCTGCTTTTTCTTTGTGTTACCACTCAAGGCTCCAATGTTAACAACATGTCAATGACCAGCACAAAGAAAAAAATTTGCTTCTAACAGTTCAAGCCAAAGTCCTAGATTTGAGTATGGCAGACTGACTTGCATCACAGACCCATCTCTAAACCAAACATTGGGCATAGGGAAGAACGAATATGTAGAATGCTCAAGTTAGGTCATAAACCCAGGCAGAAGTAGCCCCTAAACCAGAATGATTTGGTCATTTTACTGATCTTATCTGGATTATTTTTAATTTCCCCCTTTCTCTTATCCTAACCAACACATTGAGATCACAATTGCTTCTCCCGTCTCTTCAGTGAATTCTTCTTTTCTAATGACACTAATACTGCCTTAATTCAAATTGCCATTAACGCTTTGTCTGGAACAATAGCTAGAGATGTAGCTAGAGGGATCTCACTATCTCCAGTATTCTCTCTAAACTATTCTTTATATTGTTGTCAGTGTGGTCGACTTTAAACCCATTTTTCATTCTCTACTGCCCCATACCAATGAGTCCATCCATCCCTTTAAGATCTATCCATTCTTTTTCCATCTCAAATTCTGCCTTCTTTAAGATCAGTATTGTTCTCTTCTATTATCCCATAATTTTCTCTACTTCCGTTATATAGCATGTCTTTACATTAGGTTTTAGATGCCTGTATCTTCCACTAGACTGAGTATCTAGAGAATATGAACCATGTTATTCAACTTTCTATTTACAATAGTACTGAACATGACATGTTGCTCCAGGCAAGCTTGTAATAAATGTTAGTCAAATTTAACTACCAAAGTGCTGAATTATCCAATATAAACAAAATGTATTTTAAGAATATAATCTTAGCCAAAGTATGCAAGGAAAGGCAAATATGTCACTACGTAAGATTTTATAACCCTATTACCTAGGAGGTATAGGTAGGTCTCAGTGTCTAGTGAGTATCAGGAGACAGTTCTCCATAGGTCTCTTGCATTTCTTTAAATTTTGCAAATGAGACACTGAATGCATCTATTCTGATCTCTCTTTTCAATAATGTTTTCCTTGAAAACATATATCCTTGGAAGACAGAGATACTGCCTCCCTCCAGAGTAAAACCTATGCTTGCTTATGGTGTAGTACAAAACATTCAGGTTTCCTCAGCTTAGAGATTCTCCCTTGCACTGCAGGTGAGGGTGTCATCAGAATTGACCCTCCTCACAGCATTTTGTGCGAACTACAAAATGCAACCAATGTGAGGAAATACTGATGCTCTGGATACTGCTATTGCTGAGAGTAATAAAGCCTTTGCCTCTGATTCAGGTGTCTCATGTCTTCTGCCAGCATTAAAAAAACTGGGACAGGATAACTTGTTAACTTGAAAGTGGGGTGAAATCTCAGAACCCTCACAGTTCTTAACAGTCTGTGCTCCAAATAAGCTGTAGAATTTCATTTTTATTTATGGGACTTGGGCTTTTAAATGATATATCCATGTCAAGTTGAATCTCAAAGAATTCCAGACTTTGTCTTGTATGACCCCCACTAGATATTTTAAATAGGATAAAGCCAATATTTTACTTAGCAAATCTGTAAAGCATAGCAATAATCAGTAAATTGACAAAATAATAGCTACATTTCTTGACAGTCTATTATGTACCAAGTGTACTAAATGAATACATTAAATTCTGCATTAATTATATCAGTGAATAATACTACCACCCACCTAGTTGTATAAGAAAAAACCTGAGTCTCTTGCTTTCCTGTATACCTAATTAGATTTTTATTTCTAGAGATCTATTATTTCTTGAGTTTTTCTGTTTTTTTCTATGTCCACTGCTTCTACCAAATCTCTCTTCCCAATTAATGAAGTAATCTAAATTTTCTCCCTTCCTATCTTATGACCCCCCACTATAAGTTCTGTATACTGAATCAAGAGTGAACTTTCAAAAGGGAAGGCTGACCAAATTGCCTTCTTAAAAAAAAAAAAGAAAGATACCCTATTATTGACTCCCATTGTATTTTGGATAAAGCCCATACTCTTCAACTACAGTTGCATTTGACAGAGATCTTAAATGAAAATATATTGAATAAGACAGAAGCATATTTCTTTCTCATATATCGTTTTGGGGATAGACTATTAAGGTTGGTACGGTGGTTCTGCTTATTGAAGTTATTGAGAAAACTAGGCTCCTAATACGTTATTGCTTCACCACCCCTACAGTTCTCTCTCATTGACATTATCCAAGATGTCTCTATAGCATGATTGTGTTCCAAGCAGGATAGAAGAAAGGAGGAAAGGGATGGACATGGCTTTCTCTATAAATACATAATTAGAAATTTATTCAGATCTATCCTGCTTATAATCTATTTGTCATAACTTAGTCATATGGTCACACCTTGCATGAGAGAGGCTGGGAAGCTTTATGGTTTATATTCTGGGATTCTTTATGTTCCTCTGAAAATTGGGGGTTTAATTATTATGGAATGATGAGGGATTGAATGTGAGCATCTTACAATAGCAGTTTCTGCCACCCTTGACTATCGAGGCCATTATCTAGCCCCGTCAAATAATATGGCATCCTGTGAAAACGTTATTAAAGCACTTCTCACCTTGTATTTTTTAAAAAATCGCATCCCCTCAATTGGACTTACGAGCTTCTTGAGGACTATGTCTCATATACTCAAATTCTGACATCTAATAAAGTCCTTATATATAATAGTTGCAAAAAATAACTGAATGAATGTTATACTCATGACATTACTGCAACTCTGGACATTAAAATTCACATTTTACATCTGGAGAAATTTGGGCTCAGGAGATTAGATAACTCAATTACCTAGGGAACGAGCAACCCAGAATTCGAACTTATACCATCACATCTGGCTAATTTTTACATTTTTCATGGAGATGAGGTTTCTCCCTGTTGGCCAGGCTGGTCTTGAACTCCTGGCCTCAAGTGATCCACCTGCTTAGGTCTCCCAGAGTGCTGGGATCACAGGCATGAGCCACAGCTCCCGGCCGATGCCTAACTCCTAAGTCCAGGATCTTTTTACTCCACACCATTGGCATCCCTTTTAATCTTATAAAGTTTCAAGATCCTTTAAAAATAATGACGATTGATCTCAGTTGTATAATTCTAGGTAAAACAGTTTTCTTGGTCTCCTACTTCCCCATAAAAATAGAGTGGAAGACTTTTGAGATTCTTTCAATTCCTGGATTTCTGAGATTGTGGAAAAGATAATCATGTGAAAAGTTAGTTAAGAAGACAATAACAATCTTTTATTACTGAGCTCTTCCCAAGGGGCTGGACACATCTGTTTCTCTGTGCCTTTTAACTGGTTTTATCTTTTTTTAATTAACATTTTATACTGCCTTTCATACTTAATCTTTTCTACATTATTTGTGGAAGCAGAAGAAATATGAACACATTTTCTGGAATCTTTTCAGGTATACTTTTTGCAGGGTCTACACTTAGAAAGATGATGATAGCAAGGGCTCTTTCTAATCTTTGCTGAGATATTAGGCCGTCAGAAGTAATCCTTGACATATTTTTTCAAAGAAGCATGTCCTAATTATAAAAAATGTACTATTTAAAAAAAAAATACTTGACACTATGAGAACTGATAAAAATGGTGGCAGGAAGGGATCCAAGATAAATCCTAGATATTTACTATTTATTCTTATTTTAGAGATATTTTAGTGGGTATACCAATGGCCAATTTGTTTTGCTCATCTCTGCAGTAATAAGGAATTACAAAACTGAAATTCCATCTACATGTAATTAAAACACACACACACAGACACATATACCTATACAACTGGATGTATGAAGCCCAGAGATAAGAGGATAAATAAAATTTTGTATCTTGGAAAAGAAATGTGGGCCTTATTAAACTTTAAAGAAAATGTCTTGTGTGAAGGAGGTTGCCTGTTTGTTTACAATGGCCTTGAAGTTATGGAGAAAACAATATTTTTCTTTTTATATATGTTCTTGCAATTGTGAAAATTACCCCATGGCATGTAATATATATTGACTTTGTCAGTTTGCATATACCTAGTCTTGCCAATACAGTTATTTGAAATTAAATTGACTTTCTTTGAAATGTTTAATTGGAATTCTAAAACTGCTCAACAGACTCACAGCCCTGTTGATTGTGTGTTTCCCAAAGGGTACCTTTTGGCCACAGACCTCCAAAGTGTTAATTGCTTTACTGAGTGCCCAAAGCTCTAAGGAGTGAAAGGTTGTGAATTGACTTGATGCTTGACTCAGTTATTAATTTTCAATATATTTACATCACACAGTATTACACAACAATCACAGATACCCTTGTGTTCAATTCAGAATGTCTGCCTTAATTAATTCATCCCAATATTTATTTTAAGGTGAAATGATTTTTTATTTCCCAAAGGCTTTGAAATATGGAGAAGAGAGGTGATGAAGGTGATCAGCAGTGATGATCCATTTCAGGCATAGAAGCAATGAAGACAACAAAGTTTTTGAGAGAATTTGGGAGATGTTTGCTTTCCTCTCACTTTTATACATCCCTCTGATAAACTGGGCCAAAGTGTAACATAACCCATAACCAGTTTTGAAAACTGACCATACATTCTGATCCTGGAAACAAGATGTTGAGTTTTGCATCATTGGAAGAAGGTTGCTTACATATTTATTTATTAAAAAGTGGACAAAATTTAGCACATAACGTCCAGGCCATCATAACTTTTTTTTTTTTTTTTTTTTTTTTTTTTTTTTTTTTTTTTTTTTTTTTTTGGAGATGGAGTCTCGCTCTGTTGCCCAGGCTGGAGTGCAGTGGTGCGATATCAGCTCACTGCAAGCTCTGCCTCCCAGGTTTAAGCAATTCTCCTGCCTCAGCCTCCCAAGTAGCCGGGATTACAGGCATCCTCCACCATGCCCGGTTAAATTTTGTATTTTAGTGGAGGTGGGGTTTCACCATGTTGGCAAGGCTGGTCTCGAACTCCTGACCTCAGGTGATCTGCCCAAAGTGCTGGGCATGAGCCACTTCACCCAGCCATAATAACATTTCTAATAAATGGAAAAGTATGTATTCTCAATCATCTCACAAATGATAAAAGAAAGCATAGGAAACACGCTGACAGTGGATTTTCAATTATGCCAATTAGAAATAAGATTTTCTCCCTCTCCTAAAGAAAAAGAATAGATGAGGCAGAAGTATTTTATTTTTACAATCTATTAATCTCCAAAGAAGTGGAAGCCAGTGAGATTCTTTACGAGATAAAGACACACACTCTTGAGGCATGTCAGGTTCTTATGACTGGTTTACACTTTAAGCATATAACCTCCATATATTTTATATTACTCTATCTTTTTGCTTATCAATCACAAGCAGAAAACCAGTTTCATTTCATTTTCCACTATTGAGCATAAAATGAAATTACCAAACAAATTCCAAATACCTAAACAGAAAATGTGAAGCTGTCTCCTGGCTCTAACCCTGACCTTATTACCTACTACTTCTTTTGATGTGCTTTCTGATATAAGGAAATAAAACCTCTCACTCTTCTGTAGGTACCTTCTTATGCTTGTCCACTTCCATGTCTTTGCCAGTGCTGATTTGTTGTCCTGGAAATTTTTTTTTTTTCTAAATTTCAAGAGTCAAAATTTGAATATCTTTCAAGACCTCTTCAAATATCTCTTCCCTCTCCATCACAGTTCTGTGTTGGGGAAAAGGAATGATACAAGTAAGTTTGGAAGAACATATTATTCTTCCTGTTGTGTGGAGAGTTATCAGAGTAGAAGTAGAGCAGTTATGAGGCTGTTGCCTCTACTGCCTCTAAGGAAGAGGCACTGATAACCTAAGCCAGAGAAAAACTAGTGGAAAAGGAGAAAAGTGGGCAGACTATATATGAATATTGACTGGTCTCGCTCATGAATTGGAGGAAACAGTGAAAGGATTAAAAGGATATTTCTTTTGTTGTTGTTGTTTTGGCTTGAACCAAATAAAGAAAGCTGGGAAGAAACTACATTTTCTTAGAAAAATCAAGAGATTATTTTAGGCCATAATCAAGTTTGAAATGTATACTAGAGATCCAAATTGATGGGACAGGGAGAAATTGGCTATGAGTCTGGAGCTCAGAGAAGAGAGTTAAGACTAGAATCACAAATGGGAATGCACAGCACATACACTTTTAAAAATGCAAATAGATGTAATCAACTAGGGAGATATGAGAGAGGAGAGAAGGCGCTCTGAAAGGACTAGTAAGGTAAACAAGAAAGAAGAATTTGGTTTTACAGAAGGAGGAGGGACTGTTAAACAGTGTCTGATGCAGCCGAGAGGCTAGGAAAACATGGAAAAGTATTTACTAATTTTGACATGAAAATCATCAGAAACTTTGGCAAGGGCACTGATTGGGGAGTGTTGAGAGTGACAGCAAGATTTGTCATAGTGGAATTATGAATTAAAGTTCAAAAGTGAGGGAAAAAATTAAATTTAACTATAGAAGAAAGCCAAAAATAGGGCAGAAGTTAGTGAACAATGTGGCATTGAGACAGATTTCTCTTTTTAATTTGGAAGAACAGGTTGTACATTAGTAGCAATTATCCAGTAAGGAGATGAAGATCAATGATGTAAGAGGGAGGGAATAGTCAAATCAGCATAGTTTTCAGGAAGACTCTAAGGATTAGACCCAGAGAACAAGTGAGAAGGGACTAGCCTTAGAAAAGAGGAGTGACAGTCCTTCATTTTATTATGAAAAGAGAAGATAGATGCAGGTGCATGCAGAATGTAGATTTGGCTGTGGGAATGTAAGAGATCTAGAATCTGATCAATTTATCAAAGAAGTGGTAGTTAAGGCTTTCCAGTGTAGGAGGTGCAGGAAGTAGACCTGGAGACTGGAGGTAAAAGAAGCTATGAGAGTTGTCTTGAGAATGAGAAAGAGAACTTATTGCAGAAACAGATCATTTCATGGGGTACTCTTCTGTAGCCAAATGAGATTTGAAATGGAAATTTCTCAAATCAATTTTGTGATTTTCTTCATTCATATTCAACTGCATTTTAAAGGAGGCAGAAGAAATCAGTTTACTTTTTACTTTGAATTATACTTATTTACATATCTTATTTTTCCTCTATATAATGGAATAATAAAGAAACAACATAAGAAAACAAGAGAGATTCACATCTGGATTCCCCACAGCACCTAGCACATTTGTAATTCCTTAATAAACTTATCAATACATTTTGGAATGAATGAACATTTTCTTGCTATCTTTGTAAAATTGGGTAAAGATTTTTCTTTTTTATTTAGGAAAGAAAAAATACCATTATTAATCATAAATGAGAAAATGAATATAAAACAGGAGTATCAGATTTTTTAAAATGAAACTTAATGTAAAGTACTGTAATGTTTTTTGGCATTCCTTTGTGTCTGACAAGAAGCTTAAGAAATATGTCATGTTGAATGTTTCAAAATAATATCCCAAAGTAGAGAAGCTCAAGAGTGGCTGAGAAGACAAAGTGGGGATGCAGGATATTTCAGTAGGGTGCCTAGTTGGATGGTATTTGCTGAGGTTATAGATAGTAAATGACAAGTAGTAAGTTAGGTTTCTTGTTGAAAATGCCAAACTGAACTGTCAAATGGCTGAAGTTGTGATGCCTGCTTGAAAAACAATGTGACCTGGAGCTAATTTTGATGTAGAAAGCTTGCTTGCATATTAGTAGAAATTCAAAAATTTAAAAACCTTATTGTAAAATCTCAAGTTACTTTTCACATTTTCATTAAAATATTGACATAATTCACAGTAAGCATACTGGACTTTGGAAAATGTTTTCCAGATTTATTGCTTCGAAACTAAAATATGTGTATGTTTCTCCATATACACACCATAAAACAACACAGAACCATGGCTTGTCCCTTTGGGAAATGGAGGCTGGTAACTGTTGCTATTTTCCTTTTAATTGGCCTTAAAACAATCCAAGTGAGTAACAGTTTCGAAGACTCATTTGCCTGACAGCTTGCCTTTATCTTAAAGGAAGAAAAAAAGAAGTTAAAATACAAGATAAAAGAGCTGAAATGAAAATGAACAAAAAAATCCTGAAAAGTATTTGGGGGAATTATTTGACTTTTCTTTCTTCCCTCTTCATGCCTATAAAGAAATAGAATTCGTTAACCAATTAGCTTTGATCCTGTTAAAGGAAATTTTTAAAAAAGAGAATTCCTTTGCTTATGAAAGCATATTATGGTTTTATTACAGCATGATGCTTATGTACTCATCAGTTGAGTTCTCATATATGTACACAAATCAAAATGCCAGCATGTGTTCGATTTATATTTGAGTATCTATTGTGTGAGTGGCAATATTCTACAGATGTAGCAGCCAACAAGAAACAAAAGATGATATAAAGAGGGTAACTTACAACGTTTAGAATGGTTGGTTGGTGAAGGCCTTACTGACAAGATGGTATTTGAATTAATACGTGGATGATGTAAAAGAGCAGTCCACGAAAAGACCTCAGTGGAGATTGTTCCAAGAGAGGCAGTGGAGAGTTGCCTCAGAATTTTTACACAGGAAGGTCTGAGGAATCCATTCTTTAAGGAGAATACCAGGAAAATTCTAGAAACCTATCATTTCATAACAAATATCCTTCTTTTAATCAGATTGTATATTTATTTATTTGGGCTAGATGGTAGAAAAGGATTAGAGAAAGAAAAATATGATGTTAAAATTCTCACCCAACACGAGATGAATAAAGCCTCTTCATGCTACACTTTAGGCATGAAGAAAAAGCAAGTGCATGATTTTATGTACCAGCATAAACCAGGAATGTACCAGTATAACTGGAGTTTAGGAAGAACGGTGGGA
Source organism: Homo sapiens (assembly GCF_000001405.40). Lineage (NCBI taxonomy): Eukaryota > Metazoa > Chordata > Mammalia > Primates > Hominidae > Homo > Homo sapiens. Next base: position 86,900,025 of record NC_000005.10, on the reverse strand, counting down.
GTGGTAGGAAAACAAATGAAATCAGATCAAGAAAGGGACAGGGAGCAGACTATGTAAAGGATAGGGGCTATGTTAAATTAAGACATTTTTCATTTATTCTGAGTACCTAGAGTAGCTATTGGAGGATTTCAAATGGAAGAGTAATGTGGTTTATTTTTATTTATTCTGCTCTTTGGAGAATGGATTAAAGAGGGCCATAAGTGGAAGCAAAGGGATCCATTGGGGGACCCTTGCAGAACTGTGGGTGGGCAGTGATGGCAATTTGAATAGGGTGGAGGCAGTGAGGAAGGGGTTTGGCAGTGCAGCAGACAAGACTTAAAAGGATTGAATATTGGGGGTGGTAATAAAAGGAAAGAGGAAGCCTCAAGTTGCTCATTGAAAGCAGAAAAAAGTGTGTGTGAGAGAGAGAGAGAGAGAGAGAGAAAGAGAGAGAGAGATTGCTGGTAATTTGTACTGTAATACTACTGTACACATAGTTGAATCTCATGATATTAACTTTCATTGTCTCTTAGTAATAACAATTTTAAAACCAAAATATAATGTTGGCATACCGAATTGAAGTACTTCCTTTGATTTGTTTCTGATTCTAGTAGAAAAAAATATATATATTGCTGAGCATTGTTAGGAAAGAAAACGTAACATAAAATTCATTAAAAAGTATAATTAAAGTGATTTCTAATCTCTTCAGTATTCACGTGTGTCATTTACTACATACTTTAAAAATTTATAAACCCAATGAAGTTTGACAATAGTTGAAGGTTTAGAAGATCTTAAATTAAAAACATGAAGCAATTACATAAGATTTGTGGGTCATACAAGTAAGCATCATATAAATAAATATTTAAAAATATCACTTTAGATCCATGCATGTGGAAGTTTGCAAGCACTTCTTCATCAGTAGTTTTCTTTTCACAACAACTCTATGAAATGTCAGGGTGGCCATTATTATTTCTAACACCTTGAAAATACTGAGACTTATGTTAAATGACTTGCTCAAAATTGAATAGATAATAATTGAAGAGTCTGACCTAAATCCTATGACTTTCACCTCCAAATAAAGTAGCTTTTCTATCTCAGGGATTAAACACACACACACACACACACACATGCACGCATGCACGCACACCAAAATATAAAAATAGGTTTTACAGTCTTCCCCCAGTATCCACAGGGGATTGGTTCTAGGACTCCTGAAGATACCAAAATCCGAGTATGCTCAAGTCCTTTATATAAAATGGCATAATATTTCCATATAACTTACGTGCATCCTCCCATATACTTTAAATGATCTCTAAATTACTCATGATACCTAATACAATGTCAATGCTACGTAGATAGTTGTTCTACTGCATTAATTTTTATTTGTATTATTATTATTGTATATTATTATTGTGTTATTATTGTATTGTATTGCACTCTTTAATTTTTAAAACATTTTTGACCTGCAGTTGGTTGAATCCATGGATGCTGGACCTGTGAATATGGAGGGCTGACTGTAATTTACTATATAAGCTAATTTATTGTATCTACTAGGAATTTTGTACCTATGACACGTTAATGCCGGTAGATGACAATGACATTTTTGGATTAAGTCTAGATCTAAAATAAAATATTTTGAAAATTATAGAAGCAAATTGAAGAAATATTTCTTCTCTTCAAAAATATAACAAAGTAGTAATATACTGACATATCTGAGCAATAAATACAAGGAAAAAGCAAAATATTTTGGATGAGATTTAAATATATGGAAATCATGATGATTCTTATTTCAATCTGGAAAGCATTATAGTGTATTATCCCACAATTGTCTCTTCTCTTCAGATCTAGACTTATTCAAAAAGATATCCAGATAAAAAAGATTTTTAAAAACAACTTTGGTAATTAATGTTGATTGATTCCCATCAACTCAAAATGTTTTTCCTAACATGGGATCACAAACATATTTTATACACCGTAATTTTAGACATTTCCTTTTTCTCCGATGTATGGAAAGTTAAAGAGTGGGCCACGATGCTTTGAAGAACTATATTCCATACACTTGAACATGTTATTAATACATTATTATTTTAGTTCCAATATTTTCTCCTCTTTATTGAATAAAGCCTTAGTTGCTCTATCCCCTCAAGCTAACAAAAACAATGGGAGTAGAGAAGACTGTTGTCTATGATATGTTTAGTCCATGAAAATATTGAATACAGAATATCATTAAACAGTACTCCAGGGGAACAAATCTCTGTTGAGAAAGGAAGTGTTTTATCTTACTATTTTTTCCCTCAGATTTTATATCAGAGAAAAGCTTTTAGTCTATCTTTATTCTAAGTTTGTACTATGAACTAAAATAGTAGTAATTTAGTTTATTAAAACTTGCCTAGGTTTATCAGTTTACAAACTATAGGTAATGAGGTCATCAGATTTTTAAAGCAAATGGTGCTAACAAGATTTGTATTTGGAGATAACATCTCTTAAAGAACAGGATGGGCTAGTAATTAACGTGCTTATTTTTTTCTATTAGGATATTATTATATTCGACATATTCTATTGCATAGATTTTTTAAAGGTCTTTTTAAAGTTAAAACTCTATACTTTTTTTTTTTTTTGGTTTGAGGGAGATAACAGAGGTTGTTAGAAGGGAAGTATTTCCCTGACAGTCAGATGAAACTTTCCTCCGGGGTAAACATTAAACTGCTGCACCCTGTTGCTGCTGGCAGGTACACAGGAGCTTTATTTCAGAGCAGCAGAGTTTACATGTCACCCCCAAGCAAGATGCTATGGGATTACCTTGTGTGTATATTCACAGGGAGCTTCATTAACAGCATCTGTTATTTCCATTCAAGAAATCAATGAAAACTATAAAACCTGTGTGACCTCTAATCCCTTCTGTCAGCAATGGTAGGGTGGAACATTGACAGAAGCCTTGGGGAGAAAAGGTGTTAAGTGAGAGACATTACAGGGCTTTAACTGGCAGCTTTCTGTGGTGACCACATTGATATTTGGGCTTCCTGTAATGGAATTGTCTGTGATGCTTCCAGGCACAAGTGATAATTAGACATGGACTTAATCATCAACCAGTTACTGCTTTCACCAAGGAAATTTCCCATGGGAAGCGAAAGAGTTGGCCTAAGCCTTACGCTTTCTTTTTCTAGAAATGTTTTAGAAATGAGTTAGAAATTTAGAAATGAGTTAGAAACTCATAACTGGTGGAAAGCTGCCTGGATGTGAGGAAGTATTAATAGTTCATTCAGACAGTGATGCTAATGAGGACCAAAGTTTGGTGCTGAAGTTCATCTAGAGCTTCAATTGAGAGACCTCATATTATTCACTTAACTACTTTGTGTCATCATAGGAAATCAGTTTTACTCATGAATATACATTCTTCCCTCAGTATCCACAGATAATTCGTTTCAGGAGCCTCTGTGGATACTAGAATCTGAAAATGCTTAAATACCTTATATAAACTGGCATAGTATTGGATATAAACTACACACATCCTCCCATATACTTTAATCATATCCAGATTACTTACAATACCTAATACAATGTAAACAGTTGTCATACTGTATTTTAAAATGTGTATTTTTTATTGTTGTATTGTTATTTTTCCAATATTTTTGATCTGTGATTGGTTGAATCCACAGATGTGGAACCTGTGGATATGGAAGGCTGACTATACGTATATGTTACTTTTTCTATTACCAGAATTGAAACGTTAGCTCTTCAGACAAAGTCACTGGAGTGGTCATTAGTGAGCTAAAGCAGTGCTTTTCAAGCATTTCTTCTTTTAAAAGGCGTTAGTCTTGAATTTGAATTAAAAACTCTAATTAAGGGCTATTAGCTTTTTCCCTAAGTGTCAATTATACCTTAATCCTATATAAGGGCAAGCTAAAAACAAAGCTTTGATTTTTGTAAGAGGTGTTATCTTAAAGCATTTGGGCTGCTATAAAAAAGTACTATAGGTTGAGTAGCCAGTTTATAAACAACAGAAATTTATATCTCATAGTTCTGGAGGCTGGGAAGTCCAAGATCAAGGCACTAGAAGATTCAGTGTCTGATGAAAGCCAATTTTCTCATTCATAGATGGTGTCTTCTCATCGTGTCCTTACTTGATAGAAATGGCAAGGGAGCTCTCTGGGGTCTCTTTTCTAACAGACAAATCCTAGTCATGAGGGCTCCAACCTCATCATCTAATAGTCTCCCAAAGGCCCCACCTCCTGATATCATCATCTTGGATATTAGGTTTGAACATATTTATTTGGGGGAACATAAACATTCAGACTATAGTTGGTGCTTTCTTCTTGCTGTTGCTTTAAATTTTCCTATCTCTATTTACTAAAGGAAAATAAGAAAGGAAATCCTCTTCTGACTCAGTTTGTTAAGGTTGATAAAGAATGGAGCTTTCCATAGTTTATGCGAATACTCTCTGTAACTTCCCGGGCTCATGGGCTGAGTAGTAATAGGGATTCAGTGAGTAAGGATATTTCTCAAGGAATACCAAGGCCTATGGAAAGGCTCATCTTGGGAGTGGCTTGCTCAAACCTCATTTTCACTTATTTATGTGTGGTTAAATTAAGTGCAATGATGGCCAGAACCTGAACTGAAAGGGGCATCTTTCTGAGCTCCATCATCTCTACATTGTTATGGGATATCCACTCCCTTTGTCTCAATATACTCAGGGACCTCTCTCTTGACAGGTAGATTGTATGCATACATATCAATAATTACATTAGTATTAATATTAACTATCATAGCCCTTAAAACATTTTTAGTTAAATCCCTTCTCTGCCATTGTTTTAGAAAATTTAAAAAGAGAATTTACGCTTTATTTATGTTTTGACTATTAACCTATTTTTAAAGCTTCATACTAGCTTTTCATAAGCACAAACAGTTATTTCCACAGCACTTCTGGACTGCAGAATGTGTCATTACAAAGTATTTTGAGAAAAAAGATAAGGGAGGGAGACTTCTGACATGCTGAGAATTGACCCTCAAAACTTCATCAAAGGACATGTACATTTCTTTTCAAGTTTGGGAAATACTGGTACAGTGAATTTGAACATTCCTGAGTTATCAAATTATGATACAGAAGAATAAGTAATAAATTTCCCCTCAAGGGCCATTTTTTCTTATTTTTGTTTCCCTTTCCTCCCCTCTATGCTTTCCTTCTTATTTTGCTCATCTCCAACTTTACCTGCAATCTCATGCCTCAAGCCTAATCTTGTTTGCCCTGTCCCAATACAATTGACTGTTTAAAAATTTAAAAAATGTTTTAAACTTCACTCAAGTTTTCAAGTGTCCTAGATTCTCTGTAAATTTATACAGATGACAGCCTTCAATAATTTGAAAAATAAATGAAATTCTAGCAAACAAGTGTCCTACTTCTGCTGAAATTTTGCAACCATGCTGAATGGTTTAAAAAGTTAATGCTAACACATATAGTGCAGTTGGGTATGTGGTTGAGATAAACATCACCAGTAGCAATGCCTTCCTTAAATGCCCCCCTCCACTTACCCAATAGTTCAACAGTTGGAGTGATCTTTGCCTGATTCAATCTCAATATATTTATGCTGCTAAACACTCAATGTTAAGTCATCACAGATACCTTTTGCCTTGAGAAAAACTGCTCAATTTATTTAATGTTTCCATGACTTTTATCTGATCATACTAGGAATTTGAGAATTGGAACTAATATGTTTTACAATTTGTATTTATACTGAATGAAATACTTATATGATAAGTCATAGTTAGATCTTGTCTTAGTCTGTTTTGTGCCACTATAACAGAATATCTAAGATTGGGTAACTAAGAATGAACAGAAATGTATTGGCTCACAGTTGTGGAAGCTGGAAAGCTCAAGATCAAGGGGCCAGAATCTGGCAAAGGCTTTCTTGCTGTGTCATCACATGGCAGAAGGCTAGAGACAGGGAGAGGGAGGGAAAAAAAGGGGGCTGAACTTGCCCTCTTATAATGGCACCAATCCCACCCAAGAGAGTATAGCCTTCCCTTATGGGCAAATCTCCTCTTAAAGGTCCCACATCTTAATACTGTTACAATGGCAATTAAAGTTTGACATAAATTTTGAAGGGGATGAACACACCAACTATAGAATACCTTATATGAATAAAGCCTGAAGTATATAAAGCTATACCTTATTTTGACAATAGATGTTAAGTCTCTGTTGAAAATTGGCTTTTCATTTATAGCATGAAGGATTTTATTTAGAATCCTTTCAATGAGCTGGCAGAGTTTATTTAAAATGTTACTTGATTTTCACACTAATTTCATGATGACATGACAGTGTAAAGTTGGAAATACACGTATGAAACATTTCCTAATATGGCAATTCAGTTCTCTATCTTCTCTAAGCTTTCATTTGATTTGATTTACTATGTATGTAGAGTGACATTAAAATACAGAATTACTGTTCATTAGTAATTTAACTTGTCCACAAGTTTCAGTCTCAGATACATATTTTGATCTCACAATGGTCAATCTAATTTTGAGAGGTTAGCAGATGCTCATCTGCTGTACAGATAAGGATTGAGTCCTGTAAAAGACTCATGTTTAAAGTTTGCACTGAAATATTTATAGTATACTTATACTGGGTTATTAAATTTAGTCATCTAACTAAGATGCAAAAATAGTTCTTGTTCTAATCATGGCAGCTTAGATTATGCTGTATAATACAAAAGCTCAAGATCTCAGTGATTTAAAACAACAAATAAACACTTCTTGCTCATGGTATGTGTCTATTGTGGGTTGATTGGTAGTTCTTTTCCCACTTCATTATTGTCCTCATTCTAGGACAGACTGGTGGATTACCCAAATAGTCACATGACAGAAAGAAAGGGAGCTCTGGAAATTCTTGCATTGGTGTTAAATGTTCTGACCCAGAAGTGATATGGATCACTTCTGCTCTCAACTTTTTGGCCTAAACTAGTCATATGGATAAACCTAACTACGAGGAAGCCAAGAAGTTCAATTCTATCATGGGTGGTAATGGTTACCATAGACCTTATCAATCATGTATTTATTCTAATAAAATGCTTAGAATATGCCAATCACTTTTCTGGGCACTAGGGATAGAGCAGGGAACAAGGTAGATATGGAATATACTCCCATATTCTACAGGCTTAGATGTCTCCTATAAACTTACATTCTAGTGTGGCAGATAAAAAATGAGAGAAAGAATAAAGGGATGCATGGATTATTAAGAAAAAATCAGATATTAAAATGAACCAAATAATTATAAAAGGATAATCTCATAGTAAGTGATTTATTGGTACCTTCAGATTGATGAGCAGAGAAAGTCTCTCTGAGGAAGCGACATTGGAAATGAGACCTGAATAGCCATTAAGAGCTGGTCACAGGCTGGGCATGGTGGCTCACACCTGTAATCCCAGCACTTTGGCAGGCCAAGGCAGGTGGATCACCTGAGGTCTGGAGTTTGAGACCACCCTGGCCAACATGGTGAAACCCTGTCTCACCATGGTGAAAAATACAAAAATTAGCCAGATGTGGTGGCAGGCACCTGTAATCACAGCTACTCAGGAGGCTGAGGCAGGAGAATTGCTTGAACCTGGGAGGCGGAGGTTGCAGTGAGCTGAGATCACGCCATTGCACTCCAGCCTGGGCAACAAGAGCAAAACTTCATCTCTGCCCATGCCCCACCCCGCCCCCCAAAAAACATCTGGTCACATGAATATCAGAAGGAAGAGCACTCCAAGCCAAGGGTGCAGCTGTGTGATGATTCTAAGGTAGAAATATGTTTTCTTTGTGTGAGAAGGAGAAGGAAGGCAAGTGTGGAGAAAGCATGGTGGTTGAGGAAAAGAGTTCTATGGGACAATGGTAAAGGTAAGCCAGGGAAAAGTTTTGCATTTTTTTCTGTTTGATGGAAAGGGAAAGGTCACACACTGGAATAGTATAGCTAGCTTACAGTTTTAAAAGATTTGACTGGGTGTTGTGTAGAGATGGAGTGTATAGGGGAAGCAGGGAATGAACAGATTTGAAATATGTTTCCAGGAAGGTCTATAGGTCTTCTTAATGGTTAAATGGTGGATGTTGTTTAAATAAAGATGAACCAAGAACAGTTTCTCAAGATGTTTTGGCTTGAACATTTATTTAGATAGTAAATTTAGTACTAAGATGGGAAAATTGGGAGGAAAAAGAAGCAGATTTGTGAGGGTGGATGAGGTAGGAAGCGTTCTGTTGTGATAATGTTAACTTTCTGATGCTACTAGGCATCCAAATAGACATCTAAAGAGGCAGTTAGATAAGTGAGTCTCAAGACGAGGTTTAGTTTAGAGATATAGATATGGACCACCATGTTAATCAGATGATATTTAAACTCATGGTACTGGGTGAAATACTTAAAATGTGTAGATAGGGGAAAAAGTTACCTGGCACGGAGTCCCAAATCACTCCAAAATTTAGAGGTTGAGCTAAGAAGCAGGAGGCAAAAGAGATTGAGATAAAGTGACCAGTGAGTAGGAAAATAATCAAGCAAACAGTTGTCTTAAATGTTCTTGAAAGATTAAGTAACAGAGTAGCATCCACTGGATTTTGCAATATAGAGACTGTTGTTTATCTTATCAAGAGTAGTCTCCGTGGAGTGGTAGAAGGAGAAGACTAACGAGTATGATGAAGAAAGGAGAGACTGTGAGGTGAAAAAGTGGAGGCAGGACTTTCACTATGAAGAGGATAAAAATGATGCTAATTAGAGGATAATGTAAGGTATTGTGACCACTTTATATTTGGTTCATGCATTTATAGTGAGATTGGTCAGTCTGATTATAAAACTACTCTCCATCAAAGTTTAGTTGTTTGGGTGCTGACAGGGAAGAAGATTGGTAGGTTTAAGAGCTGGGGCTTTGCCAAGAATGTAAGATGGAAGAAGAGATATGTTAAAGAAATAATTTTTTGTAACACAGTAATTATAATGATGAATAATGAGCTCTAAATTGGGTACGCAGAGAAGTAAGAATATGACAGGAACAAAGAATAGTGCTTAGTGGTGAAAAAGCGGTGTGGTGCCGGAGTAAAAATCTTACACCTCAGGGGCAGACAGTCATATAAATAATTAACTATAAAACAATGTGATACATCCTATCTTTAGGCAAGTTTAGAGTCTCAGGGGAATAATTAATTCTGCCTGGGAGTAAGGGCTAGGGAATATATGTAATGCACTTACTGCTCTTTAAGAATTATGCCAGATCTTTAGAGCTGAGGTGACCCTTTTACTATGTAAACTGTAAGTAACCTTTAGAATTTGGAGAACCAGCCACACGCTGTTGAGAGCTTAAGCATATTTTTTCTACAATCCTCCTTTATGCTAGAAACAGAGATGTCAGTTAGGGAATTATTATTGTAATCTGGGCACATTGAGATGCACTTAAACCTTACCAGTTCTCAAGTGACAACTGAGATGAAGAAATGAGGCCCTGTTGAACATTAGATCTAGGGAACAAAAAGAAGGAAGCATTAAAGATGTAGTTTGGAAGGCTGGAAGAAATAGCAATACCATTGTTAAGAAAGAGCACCTGTCTGGGAGAAAAATGGTTGGCATTGGAAATGAGAGATATAAGGTGATAATAAAGCATGTTGTGGGAACAGGTGGAAATATAGAGTTGATGTGCCAGAACTAGAAATGAAGACTGGCAGCTACTAGAATAGGAGTAATAGCTGAACACCGCATTCATCAAGATGCCTCTCTGCCCAAGAAACTGTAATGTCTACCTGGGTTATCAATTTTAAGACTGACATAATAAGTTCCAATCTAGGCATCAAACTTCTTCCCTCACCACTTCCTAAGTCAGCCCAGACTTCTCTCCGTCCTCACATCTTTATGCCTTTACCCACCCTCTGCTTTTGCTTGCTGTTTCTTTCATCTGGAGTGTTTTCTCTCTTTCCTTGGCATATATCTTACCCATCTTAAAACCCACCTTATCCATAAAACCCTACCCTAGGCCCAAATTATATAAACATGATAGATATCTAAATTCTTTCTACAGTTGGGGTTAGTAGTTGCTGTTGTATTCACCCTTTATTTCTTCACGTGGTTAGTTTTATCTTCCCAGATGAAGTTATTGGCAGTAGCAGTGTAACTGAAAGAGCACTCGTCTTGGAATCTAGAGTTCTGACTCCAAATCATATTAAGCTACTTACTAGTTTCATGGTGCAGTGCAAGATATTTTGGAATTTGGTTTTCTTATCTATGAAATAAGGATTGTGGTCCTTAACCTGCAAGTTTATTGTGAGGATTATGTGAAATGATATGATAGAGCTCTTTATATGGACAACAAAACCACTCTAGTTATGATTTTTTAAAAAAATGTGTCAAATTGACTAGGCTATGGTACCCAGATATTTGGTCAAATGTTAATCTAAATGTTTCTGTGAAGATTTTTTTAGATCAGATTAAAATTTAATTAGTAGACTTTTAATAAAGAAGATTACCTTCTATAATGGGAGTGGGTATCATCCAAACAGTTGAAGGCTTCAGTAGAAAGACTGACCTCTCTGGAAGGAGAAATTCTGCCAGCATACTGTCTTTGAACTCAAATTGCAACCCTTCCCTGGGTCTCCAGTCTGCTAACCTACCCGGAAGATCTTGAACTTGCCAGTCTTCACAATCATGTGAGCCAATTCCATCTCTTTTTCTCGCCACAAACACGAGCATGCGTGAACATACACATACACACACACACACACACACACACATACACACACACACACCCTTTTAATTCTGTTTCTCGGGAGAACCCTAATAAGCTAGTTTAAGCAGAAAGGGGAGAGATTTATTATAGAGTATTAGGCAAAATAAAGAAGTCCCAGGAAGTCAAGGGAACTGATTTTGGTTTCTACTTAGCCAAAAACAATAAAGCCAGAAGAAACTCCCAGTTATAACACCTGCAAATTTCTAACTGTAAGGAATCTAAAAATGCAGTTTTTAGCTTACCAGTATTTATTATACAGGAAGGCAGTTTCAAACTGGGTTCATCATGGGGTTCAATAAACTGATTTGCAGTATTTACTCTAGATGGTATACATAGGAGGAATTCGCATTGTGCCTGACATTAGAAGTACACGATATGACTGCAGAGTTATAAGCTTTTTAGTGTAGTGATCACATGTTATTCTCCTTAGCATCCCTCTAAAGTCTCAAACTTCCTACATCCAGGTCACAAATTCTCTGATAAGCCACCTTCACTTTTGTTCTATATTTCTTCTATCTTCCTTCAACATTCTTTTTTTTATTATTATACTTTAAGTTTTAGGGTACATGTGCACAACGTGCAGGTTTGTTATATATGTATACATGTGCCATGTTGGTGTGCTGCACCCATTAACTTGTCATTTAGCATTAGGTATATCTCCTAATGCTATCCCTCCCCCCTCCCCCCACCCCACAACAGGCCCCAGTGTGTGATGTTCCCCTTCCTGTGTCCATGTGTTCTCACTGTTCAATTCCCACCTATGAGTGAGAACATGCAGTGTTTGGTTTTTTGTCCTTGCGATAGTTTGCTGAGAATGATGCTGTCTCACTGTTTTAAAATGTAATTTTTTCCTAGGCAAAATTCCATTTCTGAAATAATATTTTAGTCATTGTTTAAGTAGTGGGCTCGATATCACTGTTTTTATGATAATATTTATATCAAATGTTAGATTTGGTTATTTTCTCATTTCCAGGTCAATGGATTTCAAGTGTGGAATAGACTGATGTAGTAATTTTCACAGCATGTTCTATCACAAAAGCTAATATTGGTGAGCTTGGTAATTTAAAAAGAATAAAAGAGAATAAATGTGTATTTTAATTACTAACAAAGTTAATCAAGATTCAGAGCAGAGAGTAAGAGACTTTGAGTCAATTCAATAATCTCTTCAGGTTTTTTTCATGAAGAAATGAAATTCTTTGTATCTACTTATCTGATCTTTTTTTTGTGGACCTGGTAAGTTGGTTGGTCTGATGAAAGTATTACAGTTGTACCATAAAGGTCTAAAGACAGTCAGGATAATAGTTGAATGGCTAACATAACTGAGTCCTCTATTGCATGCTAGACACCGACTTAAATATTTTACACATATGATTAATTTTCATTCTCACCACAGCTCTATGAAGAGATAGACAAATCTAGACAAATGCTCCCCACTTTACAGATGAGTAAACCGAAGCCCTTGAGGGTTAAGTAACCTGCCCAAGGCCTTACAAGGAGCAGAACAGGATTAGAGCCTAGATATCAGGCTCCGAAGTGGGACCCCCTAACCACTACCTTCTAGTCTTTATTCTTGATTGAACAGCATTATTACTGGAGAACATTTATTTTTGGTTCCTATATGTATGGTTTTTTTTTCTTTTTTTTTTTTTTTTTTTTTTTTTTTGAGACAGAGTCTCACTCTATAGCCTCGGCTGGAGTGCAGTCACGCAATTTTGGCTCACTGCAACTTCTGTCTCCTGGGTTTGAGTGATTCTCATGTCTCAGCCTTCCGAGTAGCTCCAATTACAGGCTTGCACCACAATGCCCGACTAATTTTTGTATTTTTAATAGAGATGGGGTTTCACCATGTTGCTTAGGCTGCTCTCGAAATCCTGACCTCAGGTGATCCACCGGCCTTGGCCTCCTGAAGTTCTAGGATTATAGGCGTGAGCCACCGTGCCTGGCCTCCACATGAATGTTTTTGCTTTAATCAGCAAGACAAATAAGAATTGGTAGACCATGGCGTCTAAAGATTTCTATTTATTATCTATATATGAAAGTTGATCACTTTTTACTTTTTACTTTTTACTGATCACTTTTTACTTTTTCTATTTTTTTTTTTTTGCCATTCACTTTAATGTATTTTAGCTTTTTCTCCCTTTTCCATTCAAATATGAACATAGTATATGTGGTCCTAGACAAGTAGAGCCATCTGACTCCACCAGCCCCTGCACAGGAGAAACTGGGTGTGTATGCTCTGATGGGTGAAGCTGGAGGCTCTTTGAGGAGCAATTGGAGGAAAATTCTGAAAACCTGCCACAGAGGGCAAGCAAGGGAGTACAGTGTATATTTGGGGATAACTGTGTTCATATCAAGTGAAATAAAGGTTGGAACAACAGAGGAGTGTATCACACAATGGATATATCAGAGTGAATTTATTAGATGATTGTGGGAATTTCCTCAATGTGGGAAGAAGAACCTCATTTAAAACTATATTGAACTTGGGGGGCAGGATTTCAGAAAATTTTTGAGTTTTCTTAGAATTATATAAAGCATCATTATTTAAGGAAAAACATTTTAGTATGAAGCTTAAGTCTGGATCTAAATTATTTAATAAGTGCTAAATACATGTCACATACCTACTCTTGTGTTAGGTACTTATGAAATTTATAAAAGACATTTAAAGTCTCAACACTGATTGTAAACTGAAACAAAAATATACTAACAAAATGCCTTTTTTTCTCTGAAAAGTTCCTATTATTTTAAGTCTAAAAGTGTTGGGTTTAAAAAATGAAAGCCTATATGACTAGAAATGAGAAGAGACACTATTTAAATCGTTCTCCCTTCTCTATGTCCTGAGAGATTAATTATCTGTCATTTTCTTTGATAAGTTTACCTGCTTTTGATGATCCTAACAGAAGAAGCATAACAATGAGGAGAGCAAAAGTTTTCCATGGTTGCACTACAGAATCTCCATCTGCAAATTATACGGTTGTTTGAATTAGCTAGTCATTCTTTGTGTTTTCTGAAAAGAGGAATGAAAATGAGAAAGAATAGCAATTCAAAACTATGAATCCACTACTTTTAATATTGCATGTAACCTGGAAATTGAAGTTCTGGGAGTACATTATCAAGAGACTTCAATGCAGAATAAGAAAGGAAACATAATTAATCTCCAGAGGGTAGTTCTCATCATTTAGTTGGCTTGCTGTAGTGGACTCAGACAATATATACAAGTAATGCTGAATGATACATTGGGTGTTTGCCAACCCTTCAAGCTGAATTTTCTGACCTCTGGGAGAAAAAGTCTTTTGTGTGTAGGCTTTTGCTCTTTTTGGAGCCCAGAACCTCGTTTTATCTGCTATCTGTGCCGCAGCAGGAAATACGTCAGTTAATTTCAGAATGTGTACAATGATAACATTGTGAGAGAGATGGTTCAAAGAGAGAATAGCGGAGTTTTATTTTTTTTAACAAAAATAATGTAATATTTTGAAGTTTATCTAAGGAAGAATCCATATGTTCGGTGTTATAATATTGAACTGCTACAAAGTTCTTTAAAATGAACCAAATTTTATACTCCCAGGAAACACAGTAGGAAACAATTGATTTGCCCTATTTTTAACTATGAGAAAACTCTGACAAAGAGGTCAGGTGACTTGCCCCAGAGCAAAATGAAAGAAACCCAAATACTTTGGAATGCCTGGCTTACTGTTATTGATCTAACCATTTGTTTATCTACTTGCCTATTACACTTTAATTATGGTGGCTAGGTACACTCCTAGGTACCATACATTTCATCCACAGAAGGACTATCTTTCCAAGCAAGCCTGATGAGAATAGTAGAGGCTGGCATTCTGAATAATTATCCCTGAAAGCTAGCAAATAGAAGGTATGTTACGTCAGTACAAAAATGAACGAGAGCCGGATGCTGTTTTCAAGACTAAATCGTGATATTCTGGGCATGAAAACTAAAATTGAAATCCCCACTTCTACTTTTATTCCCTCTCCATTCTTCCTTCCTAATTTTTCCGAGAAACCCTAGGCCCTCATGCTGGTACCTCTTTAATCTTAAGGGCTTCCTCCTGAATTTTCTCACTCAGAGATCTGAAATCCTATCTAAATAACTTCAATTCTGGTCTTTATCCCTTCTTTCATCAAAACTTAGCTGTCCTCAGTCAATACCCTCAGGATATTGCTGTGTAGCAGGTGGTCTAATCTGCTAAAAGTGTAAATGGATTTAAACACCTTTCAAACCACATCATTTTTCCCATAGGCTTGTGTGTACCTTAACTACCCTAGAGATTATATCTCTCTGTTACAGATGTCCAGACTGAATGAAAATTTTACTTCCCATCTCCTTTCTCACTCTGGGCCCTTTCCATATTGTTTTCTTTATACAAAATAAAATGTTAAAGAAAAGGCAGACTCTTTTCCGGTTAGCGCGGCGGCAGAAGCCATGAGCAGCAAAGTCTCTCGCGACACCCAGTGGGAGGCAGTGCGGAAAGTCCTGCACAGGAACCAGCGCTAGCGCCACAAATTCCAGGAGACGGTGTAGGTGCAGATCAGCTTGAAGAAGTATGACCCACAGAAGGACAAGTGCTCCTCGGGCACCATCAGGCTTAAGTCCACTCCCCGCCCCAAGTTCTCTGTGTGTGTTCTGGCGGACCAGTAGCACTGCGACGAGGCCAAGGCCATGGATATCCCCCACATGGACACTGAGGCGCTGAAAAAACTCAACAAGAATAAAAAACTGGTCAAGAAGCTGGCCAAGAAGTATGATGCGTTTTTGGCCTCAGAGTCTCTGATCAAGCAGATTCCACGAATCCTCGGCCCAGATCTAAATAAGGCAGGAAAGTTCCCTTCCCTGCTCACACACAACGAAAACATGGTGGCCAAAGTGGATGAGGTGAAGTTCACAATCAAGTTCCAAATGAAGAAGGTGTTATATCTGGCTGTAGCTGTTGGTCACGTGAAGATGACAGACGATGAGCTTGTGGATAACATTCACCTGGCTGTCAGCTTCTTGTTGTCATTGCTCAAGAAATACTGGCAGAATGTCCGGCCTTATATATCAAGAGCACCATGGGCAAGCCCCAGCGCCTATATTTGAATAAACTCTATTACCAGTAAAAAAAAAAAAAGAAAGAAAGAAAAGGCAGAGTGGGAATTTGCACATAGATTATATTGGTTGGAAAGTATTATGCAACCATTTCTTGAGAATTTTTTCTCTCCTTGATTAGGTGGTAAACTCCTGGAAGTAGTGTCTACTGTTTTTGTTACTGTCATTATTATTAATCTTGTTCAACTTTTATGAATCAAAATAATTTTACCAAAAATTAAATTTTGAAAAATTTAATTTCTTGCTATTAAATTCATTTATGTTTTCATTCCACACATATTTATATTCATATATTTACATATTTACTTATATAATTATAATTCATGTTTTTAAATTATTGTGAATGTTTCACTATAATATTATTTTAGATACATGTGGGCATATTGTTAGGTAATGCACGTATCAGTGGGAATTGATCTAAAGTTTATTTTGCATATTCAGGACTTTCAATGACATGCACATAACTAGTGTTCAGTTAAAATGTTTTATTGAATAAATGTTATTCCAGTAGGCTGAACTATATATGCAGGTTAACTGGCCTTTTACTCATTTCTAGCATATTTATTGTTTGTATGTACTGGCTGGAGTTTATCTGTTGGATATAGATGGGGAGTTACTGAGTTGTGGGAAAACCAGAAAACAAGGCAGGAATAATTAGAAGAGTACTGATGTGCACCAGAAAATGTTAATCAGGCCGGGCATGGTGGCTCACACCTACAATCCCAGTACTGTGGGAGGCCAAGGCAGGAAGATGGCTTGAGCCCAGGAATTCGAGACTAACTTGGGGAACATAGTGAGACTCTGTCTCAATAAAAAATAAACAAGAAAATGTTTAATCAGATTACTACTGTGTTTGCAGAGCGTATACATTTTCAAACAATGGTTTTGAAAAGACTGCTCTGATATATAAAGTTGGGAAGTGCTGCTCAGATATATAAGATTTCCCAATTAATTCCTTTTCCTCTATCTTTTCGATAATTTTTTAATAAAACTATCCTCACGATAAAAATTATGATGAATAATTGTTTTGATTCTCTGTAGGGGCACTATGAATACATTAGAACAATAAGCATAAACTATGAGAGGCTGGTGGTAAACAGAGGCAAATGGTGACCCTCCAAGATATCTTGTAGACATTTTACCTGCATCTACACAGAGAAGGCAACCATTATCAACCTTATATAAAGTAGGGGAAATATGTCTGCCCTCATAACATTTGTGCTTCAACTGGCTAGATATTAATATGTCTTTGAGTGTGTAAATGTCCAACCCTGGTAAGTACATATATTAAAATGCCCTGAAGAACTTTGCAGAATCCTGAGTCAACAACTGGACAGACGTAAGACAGTGGTTAAGAGAATGGGCCTTGGTATGAGACTTAGATTTGAACACTAGTTTCTCCTTTTACAGTTATGTGATTTTGGCCTATTAAACTCTCTGAACATCAGTTTTCTCATCTAAAAAATGGGGATGATAATAATGGTACTTGACTCACAGAGTTGGCCTGCTGATTAAATGAAATAAGGCAGTAAAGGAACTTAGTAGAGTATCTTATGGTGTGTAATGGGTGGTCAAACATGTTAATGTTGGGAGAGGCAGTTGTCATGGGCCACGAGACTCCCTGTCTTTTCCTGCAGGATGTATTCAAAGTGCAAGACCCTGACTATTTTTTATCTGGACCATTTCTCAGGGTTTCTATTAGATACCCTTGAGGGAGAAGTAAGCTCTCCCCTTCAGGACAAAGAGCAGGATTGCTTACTGCTTGCTCTAAAATGCAAGGTGTTCCTCAGCTACAATGCAAACCCAGCTTATATATGTAGCATTCATGTGGACCCTCTTCCTCACCACCCTAACCCTGGGGGCAAGAGGAACTAAAGCAAACATGCGGATGCTCATGCTACTTACTGAACTGTGAGTAATAAATTCTTTTGCCTCTGACCCATTAATCTTGTGTCTCCTGCCAGTATCCTTGAAACAGTAATAGACTAACTTATTAGTTTGTAAGGAGGGTAAAATAAAATTCTAGACCCAGTAGTTTTAGAGATAAGGATAGAATATTGAAAGAGATTGGCTTTCTGGCAGAGGAAGGATAAGAATCCTAAAAGTTGGGTTCAGAGGAGGACTCCTGGGACTGGTAGTGAATGTACTCACTCCAAGATGTAGGGAAGGATGGAGGAGGCAGAGTAAGGGCCTTTCCTTGTCCTAACTGTTAATGAGCCTAGGCAGTGAGAGATAAGGTTGAAACAAGCTGCCCAAAAGGTATATTGGTTATTGTTTACTGTCCTCCAGGGAAGAGGACAAAAGATTGCTACCATGACAATGAAGCAATAAGCCCTGAGGCCCCAACTGAAAGGCAATGTGGCTGTGGTTGTGGAGCCTAGGAATCCAAAAAGTTGAAATAAATGGTGTCAGCAATGATGACCTTGCTATTTGACGCAGACCTTTGGTTGGGCTAAAAATATTGGAAATTTGTTTTTCTGAGCTGCAAATGAGTGGCTGCTGGAAACCTAAAATAAGTGCAAAACTGTTTCTAATGGTGCAGAGCCAGCTGCTGTAGCATATCTTATCCCTGCTGCAGCCCAACTTGGCTGCCAAGGAAGACAGAGCACTAAGTGCAGGGTGACCAAAGGACATGAGGGCTGTTAGGTGGGAGCCACAGTGGGCTGTGCAGGTGCAAGAAGGGGTCCCTAGTCCCAGACACTCAGATGCTGGGAGGTACACAGGGAAGGAAGCATAACTGTGCTTAGGCGCTAATTCTGGAGAGATCAAGGGCAAAGAAAAAGCCTCCTTATCTTCCCTGTTTCCTGTGAGACACTCTCTGCTGCCACACTGCACGCCATGCATTCCTTGCTGGGAGACAATGTAGTCTCCTGGCAGTTGTTGCTATAGCCCTAACTCACATACTTGTTAACTTCTTGGTCTATGTTTCCTTAGGGGAAAATGGTGCTCAAATTCAACCCATGGGAGTTTTGATGGGACTTATCTTTGTTAGTGACATTGTGGGTGGGGCCCAGTGGGCTAATTCAATGTAGTGATTTTTGTGTTCCCACATCTGAATTTAAAATGGAATGGTGTAGTAGATGCCTGCACTTCTCCATCCCCTAAGTGCCAGAAGGCACTCTCTTGCTCAGGGACTGCTGCACCTACTGTCTCCTGCAGGGTGCTCTAGCAGAAAACAATCCTCACAATTATAGACTTGAAAGACTATGGGAAGACTCAGGCTATTTCCCAGTGAAACAGCACCACCTGCCTGATACAGGCACCAAGTACATCCCTTTTGAAATGCAGCTACTGGCCTGTGCAAACACTAGGCTCTTGAAATGGAATGCCTTACTCACAGGGACCCCGTGTGGCTTTTCTGCTTAGTATCTCTCACCCAAAACAGGAGTGGGTTAACTTGAACTCATGACTAACAAGATAGGTGGGAACCCACAGGCCTCACTAAATGGAAATGGCATATTCATTAGTGCAGCTAGCCTGGCCCGAGTGTCATCTCAGTTTTACATTAAAATGGAATTAAAGTAGCTGGAACAATGGGATCCTAGATTCAAAGAGGCTTCACTAAATGATTGGGCCTGGTGCACTGATAATTCAGCTTTAGCTGGACACCTGATGGTGTCCACTGAGCTGCTGCCACTCACTGTTCAGCGTCAAGGTCAGCTATGTGAAACCAAAAGCAGACACAGTCAATCCTCTTGGTAAGCAAACTTAGGGCAGTCCTCATAGCCTTGGTCAATCCCCCTTTGTTCAGCTTTGCTACATTTCTGTTGACTCCTGGGTCGTTATTAGTGTCAGAGCCATCTGGTCTGTCACTTCGAAGATCTCAGACAGGGAGATTAAAGACACTCCTCTTTAGAGCCAAGTAGCTGATAAACCCTGTGCCACCCAGGTCATCATGACAGCAGACATGACAACACAGCCACCATCATGGACTGGGCACATAGTAAAGAATTCTATGTTTCTGATGCAGAAGCTACCAATGTATATTAGACTTTTGATTTCTGTGAAAGTTAACTCATTTGTTTTGCAGAAAAAAAGAAAAAAGCCACATGATGCGCTGGCCCTGTTTACTCCTGAAAAATTGCATGCATTGACCCTTGACTCTCTCTTGGAGCTACTGTTGGTGTCTTACCACTGTTAAAACTTTTTAAGGTTTTCATGTTACTGTCTCATCTCTGGCAACATTGCTGTAGGCTTTGAAATTAAACTGTGTCACGTTTTCTGCTTTCCAGCCCACCTGGAGTTGAAAAATAGTATGCCCTTAGTACAAAAGGTTAGTCTAAAATGGGCTATTTATTTTTTTTTTAAGACGGAGTCTCACTCTGTTGCCCAGGCTGGAGTGTAGTGGCACAATCTCAGCACACTGCAACCTCCACTTCCTGGGTTTAAGAGATTGTCCTGCCTCACCTCCCGAGTAGCTGGGACAACAGGCACCTGCCACCATGCCCGGCTAATATTTATATTTTTAGTAAAGAGAGAGTTTCACCATATTGGCCAGGCTCGTCTCAAACTCCTGACCTTATGATCTGCCCCTCTCGGCCTCCCAACATGCTGGAATTACAGGGATGAGCCACCACGCCTGGCCTCAAAATGGGCTAATTATTAAGGGCCATTTATCTGATGGACATTCCACATTCTACACCATCTACAGGCATCTGGTATTGTTGAGCACTAGAAAGACTTCTTCAAAAATCAGTTCAAAGATATTTCTGACTCCCCCTCATCACATCCTCCTACTTGACACATCTTAGTAAGGCAGTTTGGTCACTGAATGCTGCTGTCCTTAGAAAATGTTCATCTCTTTTTGGCTGTGTTCAGGGTAATGTTTTGGAAAAAGACAGTAAGAATTATCTAGACCTATTTTGAAAATTCAGGACTCCTCCTGACTACTCCTGGGCATGCTGCTGCTTTTTTTCCTCTAACTGCAAGCAAATCTGCTATGTGTGCACTCTCCATCTGGCTCTCTGCATTACCCCCCATAGGAAGTAGAGCAAAACCAACATATCATGCTGATGCTCATCAACTTGCTGTGCTGTGAATACTAAAATTATTTGTTTTTGAGCCAGGAGTCTTGTGTCTTCTACCAGAATCTATGAAACAGTAACAAATTAATTTATTAGCATGTAAGGGGGGTAAAAATCAAATCCCAGACATCACAGTTACTGATAATAAATTACAAATTTCTATTCTTAGATCACAGGTCTGAAATATAGGTGGCTGAAGCCTTCGCAGTACCATACCAAAAGTAGACTTAAAGTAGACATGTGTCTAAACCTTACTCTCAATAAGAAGTAAAATCAGTGAAAACTGCTTTTATTTTGTCATCCTACTTTTTTTTTAAGCCAATGATTGGGTGCTATGTACATTAAAGAGAATCTCCTATGAAGGTCAGCTCTTAAATTACAAATTTTATGAATGTGAAAGTGAGATGTTGAAGTTCGGGAAAGCTCTTCTGTTATTATCTACTCAAAATTTGTGAAGAAGAATTCTGCCAAGAAGTAGATTCACAATTGAAGATGCTTAAATTAAGACATGGAGAGATGATCATAAGAGAATGAGTATTTAGTAATACCTGGGATTTTGACTAAGCATATATTTTCATAAGAATTCTGCTTTTCAAAAAGAATTTATCTTCTTACAGCTAAGATTGCACAATTACATATGTGCCTTTGAAAGAAAATAAACACTAGACCACTTAAGGTCTTGAAAAATGTCTGAAGTGCTTCCTCATTGCTGTTTAAGCTGTGCAGTCTCACTGTCCTGCTGTTTACCACCCACTGGCCAATCAATTACAGTCAATCAGCAAAGAATAGCAACAGTTACCAACAAGAGAGATGACATGCAGTTTAAACTGCTGACCCATGAGCTGTCCATGAAAGGCACAACCCTGAAGAAATACATATTTGATTCCTATTTGGATTCTGTGATTTATTGCCTTCATCACAAAACATCACATAAAGGGTGAGGTTCAATTAGAAAGAGACAAATTTTGTTTTCATTATTTTAAAAAAATATTAAGCCAAAAGTTATTTGATTCAGGAGCATGGTTCATCTCTATCTTTGCAATTTCTTGGGTATGTCCAAGCCAAGTGATGATAAAAGCTTGTTTGTTCTAGTGAAGAGTCAAAATCCTTCGTTCTGATTCTAGGTTAAGATCTTTGTTTTCTTATTGATTTTCCTCAACTCTCCCTGACATTAGTGAACTATGAACTTGGTTTGGCAACCTATAGGTGAGGTACAGAACAGAAAAGGGGACTTTTGAGCTCAGAATCCAGTAATCATTTTGACTTGCTAATGAATGATAGATTTAAACTTCCAGGTACACCCAATAAATTATATACATACATACATGCATCTATACATATATACAGACATACACACACAGTTTTACTCACCTATTGTTTGATGAGTTTTTATTTGTACTTAAGTATTAGATTTTTATATTCTTATATAAATTTTAAACTTCTAAATTTACATAGTTTAGGGTCACTTACCTTTATTGATTTCTTTCTTTTATGCCATATCTATTATTTGCAAACTACAACATAAAGCTTTATGGGAAATGAGGAAAGGAATAATATAATCATGTGATCCTAGGATTTCCCAGGATTTCCCAGGATTGTATTATCAGGAAAGGAAATAATACAAGAATACCATGCCAGGTTAATGTCAGAGGTAAATATACTATAATAAAGATGAAGCAGCATTGTTGTCTGGGGTAAATACCCGAGGTTCATTGTCCCACACCAGGGAAATCGGGGACGCAGACACAAGAAGTAAGTTTAAGAGCGGATGTTTAATAGGCAAAAGAAAAACAGAATAGCTTTCTCTCCTGCAGAGAGAGAGGAGCGCCTGAGTAGGTCTTCCGTTTTTGTGGTGAAATGCATGGGGTTTTATAGACAGCTTGAGGAGGCAGTGTCTGATTTACACAGGACCCAAAAGATTGATCAGACCAGGTATGATGTTTGCGTAGTGCACAAAGAAACTGGCCATCCCACCCTAATCTTCTATTATGCAGATGGGTTCTACCTAGCTGGTGCCATGTTGTTTGTTCCTTACTGTGGGTTCTCCACCTGGCTGGTGCCATTATGTTTTTTCCTTACTGTACATGTGGTTGACAAAGAAAAGAGAAGATGGAGCCACTATGTTGAACATGCCTGGTCCCCAGGTAGCCAATTTTCTATTGGCTCAGCTGCCAGCATTTACCTATGAAAGCTTTTAGCTTGCTTATCTATGCTTACAGCTTGACTTCTCAGGCTGCTTTCTGTTAGAAAAGAAATCATTTTGGGGTTGCTTTTTATTAAAAGGAAAACTTATGGAGGACTCTCTTACCCTCACTATCTGCCTAAATAATTTCTTTCTAGCTCCTGTATCAAAGAAACCAATGAAATAATGTAAGATTTAGAAAGTAAAGAGGTCACTTTTGGCTTTGGAAGTGAAACGTTTATAAAGAACGGTGTTTAAAGCTGGGATTCTGATGGTTGGTGACAAGAAATAAAAATAAAACCCCAAGACCCCCAACAGACTGAAAAGATGCCCTCTTGGCCAAGGGGACTCCACAGTAACCTTGAAAACTGAGCTTTCGACCATGTCTTGGGATGACAGATCAGACATGCCCCATTATACCTCCTTCCTTGCTAACTGCCATTAGACTTTCTTCCATAAGGGATAAACAAAAACCAGTCCTTTCAAAATACTCCACCACTTGTATCAACCAACCACCTGCCACTGCCCCTTCTTTTTTTTTTTTTTTTTTTTTTTTTTTTGGCTTCATACCAATCAGGGAGTAGTTCTGGACAGTCTATGGAGAATGTGCAGTAAGGGTTTTTCGTGTCCTCTGTTTCAGCATTTGATGTCACCAAGCCAAAAACTCCACCTTTGGATCATGCTGATGCTGGCATTTTTTGCACAAGAGACCCATGAAGGGGTATGAAAATCAATTGCACATGCGCGCATTTCTTCTTCCATAAATATTCACAACTCCTCGTACAGCTTATTAAATCTATATATGTGCCACCTTGCTCAATGTAAATTCCTTTTCCTTTTGCCCCTCCCTCAAAGTGTCTGTGTCTGGCTTCTGACTGGAGGCTATGCTTTTCAGCCTGTCAGAATGGCCACCCTGCAGACCAGGCTGCAACTCTTTATGAGAAACAAAGCTCTCGTTTCCAAATTTATGAATCTCATCATTCTTCAGTTGATAATGATAAGGCTAGAATACTTTTTTTATTTTTTGAGACAGGGTCTTGCTGTGTCACCCAGGCTGGAGTGCTGGGGCACAAACATGGCCTTACTGCAGCCTTGACCTCCCAGAGTCAAGTGATTCTCCGACCTTAGCCTCCTGAGTAGCTTGGACCACAGGTACATGCCACCATGCCTGGCTAACTTTTTCATTTTTGGTATAGAGAGGATTTCATCATGTTGCCCAGGGTGATCTGAAACTACTGGGCTCAAGCAACCCTCCTGCCTTAGCCTCCCAAAGTGCTGAAACTACCGGCATGAGCCACTTGCACCTGGCCAAAGATTTTGACTCATTGTGTGGTTATTTATTAGAGCAATACTTTAAACAACTTGTAGTTTTAAAAAATTGTATTCCAAGAAATGTGACTGATAAGTACAATTTGTTCATATCTCAAAGTATGCAAGTTTCTACATAGAATTCTAACATTCTAGTTTAGGATTTTCAGACACTTTGATCATGCCCACAGAAATAAACATATTTTACATCATGACCTAGTTATACATATACACATATATTCAACTACAGCAAAATTTTGATAAAATAATGTTTATACTTATATTTAAAAAAAATTTTTGAGATATAATTCATATAGCAAAGCAAATTCATATAGCAAAGCAAATCCTGTGTGCAGCTTAATGAATTTATACATGGGTATATATAATACCTATCATGTTACCACAGCCTCAATCAAGATATAGTACATATTGAGGCCCCCAAAAAGGCTTTCTCATGTCCCCTTACAGTAAACACCCACCCTACTCCCAAAGAGGTAAACACTACTTGAAGGTTTATCAACATAGATTAGTGTTGCCTGTTTTTGAATTGCATGTGAATGAAGTATCTGAATTCTTTCAATCAACATTATGATAGAGCTACCTACTCTTATTTTTTATTTTGAATTTCAGATAAACAACTAATAGTTTTTTAAATTGAGATATAATTCACATACCATAAAACTTACCATCTTAAAGTATACAATTTAGTGATTTTTGTAGGACAATATGTGTGTTCAGGCATGTGACCTTCTGCTCATGCAGACTCAAGGTCAGTCAGATGTGAGAGTTTAGGGCCATCTCAAGCCTTTCCTGAGCATGTACATACCCCCAGGCACATGTACAGCAGAGTCCCAGAGATTATCAGAACTTTCCAAAGCTTCCTATCATAACACATTCCCCAGAATTTCCTTTTAAGCTTTTTTGTGAGCCTATTGTTTGACCCAATCATTATCTACTGCCTCAGGCATCTGTAATGTTCAAAAATTGCCTCTGATTGTTTTTAACAAGTGACCCCAGAAAAACAGGCTGTTTTCACTAGGCAATCTCCAATCACATCAAATAAAGCCAGACTTGTGAATGAATTCTTCTAGGAAACTCCAGACAGGTTAAATAATAATAATTATCTGGGAATGTGGTTTGAGAGAACTCCCCTGTGAAACTTGTTGGGCCCCCTCCAGTAGCTGCCAGTCTGCTGAATTCACTGAGTTGGCTTTTGGTTTTCAAGTCTACCACAGGGGTGGGATAGAGCGGTGAGAATAGGGTAAGTTAAAATGCTGCAAAGTTTACTGTTTTGACTGAAATTCAGCCAGTTTCTTGGTTTGCTGCAAGCCTTTAATTTCCATAGTTCTGAAAAAGTTGGTCCTGACAATTTTGCCGCTGTTCTCATTGCTTCCCTGGAGGAGAGAATTTTTGGAGATCCTTACTCCTTTATAGTTGCTGATATCACTTCTCTACTCACGTTACTATTTCACACACTATAATATTTTAAATCTCTTTTATTGAAACAATGGCACCATCCACTAAATTGATTTTGTGGTCTACTCATGGGTTGCATTCCACATGCTTACAAATCAGGGTCTTCGCTTACCTAAGGCTATTTACATAACTTTAGTACCTAGAAGCTTGTACTCTTGTTGAGTACAAATACGGATGCAATAAGTATAGAGAGGGCTAGAAAGAATTTACTGGCATACAGAGAAGCAAACAGAGTGTGTGGGATGCTATAGGATAACAAGCTCTCAACTGCCACATTTACCTAGGTTATTGTGAATCAGTAAGCAAAAATAAGTTTGATTCAAATTGTCTATATGAGCTATGTCAAGTATCAAAGGACAAAACTACAATTTTATAGATCTCAATTGGCTTTCTTGTGATTCTAGAATTGAGCAATACTTCATTCCCTAAAATAGAAAGGGTTGGCTTTATAGGCATAGAAAGGCTGAAGAGAGCAGAACCAAATGACAAAGACTGTATTTGTTTTTTCAAAGCTATTTTCTTGGTAAGTTGGGGACAGGTAGATAGAACAATAGTGATAACTGATTGGTTAACATCAGGTTACTTCAGGTCGCTCATTGTAAGGATTAAAACGGAAGGACTTTTATTATCAAGCTGATCGAATATTTAAATGGGTCTGTTTGGGAAACTGGCTGTTATCTCTTTCTCCTGATTTCTAGGAAGGTCTGAAAAAATCTAGTTTGGGTTTGGTGACATGAATGGTTGACTTCATTTTAATTTTTAATCCGATCTGTTGGGGCTTAGTGCAGAAACTTAGTCCAGAAAAATGGCCTTCTATAATTTTCATTTAACACGAGTCTACTTCAATTTTTGTACATCACTATTACTGGCTGAATTGTGTCTCCCTCCTTCCTCCAAACTCATATGTTGAGGTCCTAACCCCCAGTACCTCAAAATATGAATACTTGAAGATAGGCCCTTTAAAGAATTAAGATAAAATGAGGTCATGTGGGTGGGCCTGAATCCAACACGATTGGTGTCCTTTTAAGGAGCTAGCACACAGACAATATAAAAAGGAAAGACCATGTGAAGACAAAGGGAAAGATGGTCATCCATCTGCAAGCCAAGAAGAGAGGTCCTGGAAGAAATTAAACTTGTTGACACATTGATCTTGGACTTTATAACTGTGAGAAAATAAATTTATATTAAGTCATCCAGTTTGTGATATTTTGTTATGGCCATCCTAGCAGATGAATATGACAAGCATAAAGCTCTAAGCACTCCCCACCCCCAAGCAACAGCAACTATTTTGGCATATATTTTAGAGACCATTATTGTAGTTTTTAAGTGACTCTTTTACCTACCAATTGGTATTTTCTTGTGGGTTTTGAGTATTTTTCAATTTTGGAGTAAAAGAATGTTAAATCCACAAGACGAGCTGTGATAAATTTGTCCTTCTAGCTCCCTTTTCCCCTACCCTATGAGACACAGTACTCACTATTTTCCCCTTAGGTTAGGCTACAAGCTCCACTCTGGAAGCAGATTGTTGTAGAAGTATGATCCCATTTTCTCTGCTTCATCAGTACTTTCGGGTTGCTGAACCATAGTGCCTCCAATTCTAAGCTGAATTGGATATATTAAGAGGGGATCATTTCCCTGGTTTGATCTACTCAGGTGGTTTTTAACCTTATTTGAGTGGTGAGACTGCTTCCAAACCATGTGCTTTATGGTAGAGAGAAGACCAGGTAAGGGAAAGCTTACCTACTTTTTACTTTAACCTGTGACCTGCCACCTCCCAGGCTATTCCAACTGAGTTCAGCATGAATGCTCAATGGCTTCAAGGCTTAAGGTCTATAAATCTTAACCACAAAATAAAAAACCACACCTTTGAGCAATCTTTTCACTAGCCACCTAACTTTATGTGAAAATTGTTTTAAGCAAAATTATCTCAAAGAAAGAAACGTTTGACTAATATTTTAATCCTTTAGAACAATTTCTTCAGCTGTTTGTTTAGGTTATTTTGGTGGGAAGGACACATTATTTTCTCATGGCATTAAGTTGATTTTTTCCCTTCATGTCATCTTGATTTATGGGATTTTTTTTCATCCTTAATAGTTCAGACAAGTTATGAGCAGTGGATGTAAAAAGTAGGCAGTGTTTAAAGGACTTCTTTTTCACATGTGTACAAATGCTCTGGAAATGAACAGCACCAAGAAATTGGGAAAAAGTATGTCAGAAAACTATTAAGCTTTTATTAAACACTCTAAAACTTTATGTACTAA
Source organism: Homo sapiens (assembly GCF_000001405.40). Lineage (NCBI taxonomy): Eukaryota > Metazoa > Chordata > Mammalia > Primates > Hominidae > Homo > Homo sapiens. The sequence goes on along the minus strand of NC_000005.10, from coordinate 86,871,967 downwards.
TTTATAACATTTGTATTGAGCATGTGCAAGCTGTTGCTCTAGGAAGTGACATTTACTGTTGTGGTTGGCTATGACTATTTACACCAAAAAAAGATAAATGACTTGGTTTGAAATATCTCCTATACACATAAATTTTGATTAAAAAACACTTTAAGAGGGAACATAAATACATTGGTAATAAATAAATTTCTTCCTAATATGACATCTGGGACTTGGAGAGGTTATTTTCTTTATTGCCTCAGCAACAATTACAGGTAATGTATTAGAATGGTGTTCAAATGGTTTTGTTCTAATATTTAAAAAAATAGAACGGTTTTAATGAGTCATTAAGAGTCGAGAAATTAAGAAAAAAGCATATGGATACTCTGTTATACAGGGGAGCTTCTATAAAAAGCCTTCCATTATTTTGCTTATTTATTTTTTGATTTCACTTTTATCAGTGATGCTCAAAGAGCTACATTTCCTTCTTAACCCTCTAGGCAACAAGGAATTCTTGAAAGCTGTTTCTGTCGCATGTAAACTATCTCAGATGGGAAAGTAAGGTGCTGCCATGCTGTGAAGCTTCACAGTGGCTGAGCATCAAATTCTAAAGACTCATAGGCACCAGATTCATGTTCAAAAGCAGAGAACTGAGTGGTAACCTATGCCTTTTCCTTCTCTCTATGGAAATTGCTTATCCCATGGGAACCCTGCCAGAGATCATGGATATATTCTCAATTTTCACCTGTCGCATTCAGTCAAAAAATAAAATAAGACAAAGGAGGTTCCATATTTGGAAAAGAAAGGAATCTAGGAAATGAGTGCTTAAGTCCTCAAATAATGTCGCATCAGATTTCTTAAAATGATGAGCCTATCTAAGTGAATTCTAAAACAGCAACTCGATTCAGTTTGAAATCAGTTCCACTGGGTATTGAGAAGGACAACAAAGACATGACAGGTAGGGGGTAAGGCCTGCAAACATTAGGGTGTAAGATAAAGTGCAAGACTGAACACAGAAGACCGGTAAAGTCAATGTGGGAGGGCTCAATTTATACAGCTATTCCATTTATACAGCCAAATAATTTTGAGATCCCCTCAAGTTTTTGCATTTACAATTTACTAGAAATATGTATTGGACAGGAAAAAAAGTAGAAACTAGGAAAGTTTATTTTTAAAATGGAAGAAAGGCTTAATTTGGTTTTAAGGAAGGGTAATGTTTGGGTTGGTATTCAGAAATAAAATTATGTATTTTTAAATTTTAAATTTAGATTCAGGGAGTACATATACAGGTTACAGGAGTATATTGTGTGCTGCTGAGGTTTGGGCTTCTATTGATCTTGTCACAGATAGTGAACATAATGCCAAATAGGAAGTCTTTCAGTCCTTGCCCTCCATATGCACTCCTTCCTTTTGGATTCCCCAGTGTCTATTGTTCCCATCTTTATGTCCATGTATACTCAAGATTTAGCTCCTACTTATAAGTGAGAACATGTGATATTTGGTTTTCTGTTTCTATGTTAATTTGCTTAAGATTATGGCCTCCAGCTGCATTCATGTTGCTATGAAGGACACGATTTCATTCTTTCTTTATGGCTGTGTAGTATTCCATGATGTATATGTGCCACTTCTTAATCCAATCCACTGTTAAAGGGCACCTAGATTGATTCCATGGCTTTACTATTGTGAATAGTGTTGCAGCAAACATATGAGTGCATGTGTCTTTTTGGTATAATGATCTATTTTCCTTTGGGTATATACCCAGTAATGGGATTGCTGGGTCAAATGGTAGTTCTATTTTGAGTTATTTGAGAAATCAGAAAGAATACTTAACTGGAGAGAATAGAAGAAAAGTAAAAAGACAGAAATAATGTTGCATGCTTGTAGGGGAGAATTGTGTCTGGAGGAGATGGTGGTGGCTAAATAGAGCAATAATGTGTTTTCAGATATAAAAGAGCCTTGATTAATCAGCTAAGGAATTTGGATCCATGCTGTAGGAAGCCAACTGCCATAGCAGTAATGTTGAGCAGAAAAAGGAGACTGCAAAAAGGCATTTGGAAAATTAACCAGAACTGGTGCACAAGGTAAATGAAGTGGAAGCATGGACACTAGTTAGGAGGCAACTATAGAAATAAGATAGTGAGGAACAAGGTCCAAGTTAGGGACAGTGAGAATGAAGACAATGCAAAAGAGAAATTAAAGTAATATTAGAAATACAGAGCTTCGTTGAAGAATGCAGTTAATAATAATACAGAGGCCCAATAATACTCAAGCTCTGCTCAGACTCGGTAAGACTCTGAATGGCCAAACATCGACATAATAGTTTCCTTTGTTTTCCTGCACTGATTAAGAGTTTTAGATTCATATTCATATTGGGAAGAGTTTAAATTTGTAAGCAGAACAAACTAACCATGACTATAAGGCAGAAGAGAAATTCACTGACAAGTGATTGGGTAACCTAGAGAATTGCTAGGTAATCTAGAACCAGGTGAATGATCAGCTGAGACATAAGATGTGGGAACTGAAACTAAGACTAATGAAGAACTAGTGTTCGTTTTTCTAGGACTGCATTCTTCTTAGTCTCTTACTCTTCTTTGACAAGCTCACTGATAGTGTTTGGCTCTGTGTCCCCACCCAAATCACATTTTAAATTGTAATCCCCAAATGTCAAGGGAGGGACCTGTAATCCCCTTGAGGGAGGAAGGTGATTGGGTCATGGGGGCGGTTTTCCCCATGCTGTTCTCATGATAGTGAGTGAGTTCTTATGAGATCTTATGGTTTTATAAGTGTTTGGAAGTTCCTCCTTCACTAGCTCGCTCTCCTGCCACCTTGTGAAGAAGGTGCCTGCTTCCCCTTCTGCCATGATTATAAGTTTCCTGAGACCTCCGTAGCCATGCAGAACTGTGAGTGAATTAAACCTCTTTCCTTTATAAGTCACCCAGTCTCAGGTATTCCTTTAAAGCAGTTATAGTAGATACTCTAAGAGAGTAAGTGGGTGTATTAGTCGGTTTTCTATACAGAAAATTATGACAGTGACAGAAGTCCAGCATGACTGACTCCATTTTGCTTCTAGCTTCATAGATGGGCTGTCCTTGCTTATTCCTGGGAATGGGCCAGGCTAACCATGGGAGTAATTTATAGTTTAACTATGAAGCAAGGATCATAATAGTCTCTCCCTAAAACTGACCTCCTCCCTGTTTGGGGACTGAAAAGGCCTTTGTAAGACTATTGAAAAGTCACAAGATTAGGATTATGGGAGGGGTATGAATTCTGCTAAGAGGTAGGCATGGTTCCAAAATAGCCAGCCATTTTTCCCTAGCTTATTTTCCGATAATCCTTTACTGCTCAAAAGTCATGTGGCCAGAGATCACAAGATTTGTGACTTCCACAATTGCTTCTATAGACAACATCACTAGTGCAGAAGCTAAGATTTGCCTTTTGAGATGTTTTTCAGAATTTTGCATTCTGGTACTGATTCCACCTGCACCTGCAACTCATGACTCAACCAGTCCTGCGGCCCCCATCCAGAGGTGGAGCCAGTGCAGGAGGACTGTTTTTCATACCCCCTTGATTTCATTCCCAACCAATAGTAGCACCCATTTCCTAGTCCCCGCCCAGCAAATTATTCATTTAAAAGCCCTAGCCTTCAAGTGCTGAGGGAGGCTGATTTGAGTAATAAAATTCTGCTTGTCTAGCCCCAGGTTAATTAAATTCTTTCTCTATCACATTATCACTGTCTTGGTGAATTTGTTTTATCTGTGCAGCAGGCAAAAAGTACCTGTCAGGTGATTACTTAGCTAGGAGCAGGACTTGTTGCAAGAAAGGTTAGTGTCCTTTAGCAGGGAGAGAGAACAAGCAAACAGAACAGTATGGGTTTCTAGACAGGTCTGGTAAATGGCTGAGATGAACAAATGGACAAACAATGGGACACATACATTCTCCAGCAGGGAGCCAACAGGTCCAGCATCCTTTCTTTTGTCTGAAAGTTTGCAAATATAAAAGAAATGGTCTTTGAATTTGTAGTTCCAGATTTGATGGGCTTCATGTGCAGAGCTTATGTAAATTATGGTCTAGCTGCCTGGGAGTACCCCTGTGACCAACAGTTTTCATGGGGAAAGCAGAAGGCACTTCTTTCATGCTGTTTGTTATAAAGATATTGCTACTCTACAGAAAAATTAAGTCCATGCCAATAACTGCGAATCTGTATCTCTAGCTAATGCTTCTCACCTTAGCTTCAGAGCCATGTATCACATTACCTACTAGAAATTCTTACTTAGATCACTTACAGCCTTCTCCCTTTCAATGTGTCCAAATCCAGGATTGCCTAACCGTTCTTCATCACCCCCCACTCCTCTCTGTCACTCTTCTTCCTCCTTCCTGTACCTATTATTTTAGTGAGTAGCACATTTGTCTGCACAATTTTAGTGTGGGTAGCATTCTTGATTATCTTCTTCCCCCACTCCACCCCCTACCCTCATTCAAATCACCATGCCCAGGGATTCTTCTTTCTAAAGATGTTTTCTTATTCAGAACATCACCAGTACTTACCTAGATGGCTGGAATTACCCTTTTTCTGGGTACTTTGTCTTCCATTTCTCCTGTCTGCGATTTGTTCTCTGAATTGCAAATCTGATTTTCTCTCTCCCCTATTTTAAACCATTCAAATATTTTCATTTGTCTAAAAATAAATTAAACTTCCCCACAAGGACTAGAAAGACTTCCATCTTGCTCTCTGTTGAACTCTCTGGCCTCATCTCTCACCTATGCTCCCTTCACACTCTATGTTCCAGCCACTTTGAGCTGATATGATCTCATTATTAAGACTTCTGTACAAGTGTTTTCTTTGCCTAGATACCCTTTCCTTGCCCATTGCCTGGCTAATTCTTATTTATTCCTCATTATTCAATTTAAATATCACTTCCTCTAACAACCCTCTCTCATCTACCTCTCTCCTGTCCCGGCGAATCTAAGTTAGGTGACCCTTTTTGAGTCACCACCTCCCATCACGGTATTCTGCCATCAGAGCACTCATCTCTGGAGTATTCTTGGCTGTAGGCTTTTCTGTATCTCTTTTAACTTTAATCTCTTGTAGATGCCACCTGTAAAACAGGAATGATAATATCTTCTTTGCATCGTGGTTATAATGATTAAATAGCAGCTGCTTAAAACATATGAGTTATTACTACTACCACCACTACTATTATGATTTGCTATTCCATTCAGCGTGGACATGGAGATTGCCCTGTCCTAGTAAACACTATAAAACAATTTGGAAACAGAAGGTAGAGAATAAGAATGAATAAATTAACTGAAATAAATCGAAAGCCCTGCTAGGGCTTCTTAAATTGCTTCTTAGACACACTGCATTACCAGTTGCTAGAATTCAGTGTAGCAAAAGCCTTATCTCCATTGGGATACATCATCTGGAGAAGTGGGCTTTCCAGCCCAGCCTGCTATGGTTGTCTCACTCATGTCAAAGCCTATTCCTACCCAATTTGGTAGCACGTCCCTGTACATTCTCTGGCTTTCTAACCCTGTCAGAGGAAATGATGGATGTAGGATTGAAACAATCCATATACAATCAGAGAGAACAAAGCTGAGTAGTAACACTACAGCAAGTAATTAAAAACAATCCTGCTCCTTGGAAACCATCTCCCACCTCCTACCATCCTGCCATCCTGGCCTCTATTACCTTGGCACTGTTGGTTTGCTGGCTGCTCTTTCTGCCAGCTCACTTTGACTGGCATTGGCACACAACGTATTTGGCAGTCTTTGTTCCCATTACTGAGCTCCTCTTTGGAGCTGCCAGGCTTTGGTCAAAGGCTGCAGGGGGTACTTTGAAGCCCTTCCAAACTTTTGGGCCTAGGGTTGGGGAGCTGGGCTTGTTACAATGTGTACTTTCTCCATTTCCCCCCATCCCACCACCAGGACATGATGTATACTAGTTAATTTCTAAGTTTATTCCAGAACAGAAGCACAAAGAACAGAAATATTTCTGACCTGCCACAGAAGGATCAACTCTAGATCTTTCCTATGTTACACTCTCATATATGTCCCCAAAAGAAATGAGGTATTTGGTTACATGTAAAATAGATATAATTTTAGCTAGAGATACTTCCTGAAACATTTAGGCAGAGATGATTAAAATCAAATAGCAAAAATATCTTTTTGTACATGGAGTTTCCTGTTTGCAATCTGGTTTGCAAATGTTGTTTTAATGTTGTTTTCCACAGGATCTCAGCCAGTTGTTTGGAAAATAAACCAGCAACTCCTCTATACAAAGCACAAGATGCCTAATTCTCTAGTGCTGGCTTAAGCCCAAATATAAACACTTTAGGATTGAAAAGAGGAGGCAAATTTCTCATGGCATCATTCTTGGAATGTGACTCAGAAAGAAAGTGAACCTGTAATCTCCACAGCATCCACCTAATTCCCTTCCTTTTGTCAATTTTCTCTCTAGTCTAGGAACACAGTGCACAGCATAGTTCTCTAAAATCAGCAATGCTTAGAAGACAACTGGGTGTCAATGTTGCCAGGCGTTCTCCTGGCCCCCAACCAATTACACAAAGGGACAGGCCTGGTGCTTATTATAATTATCTTCTCCCACTCCTCTACAATTCTCTTCCCCGAGGGATGCAGGCTGTGTTGTGTGTATGTGTGAACCTATTCATTAATGAAATAACTCTAACTTCTTTACAAAATGTTATCTGACCAATTCTGAAAATACTTTAGATAGACTTTTCTATGAGCCTGCTTTAAATGACTCTTCTATAACCAAAGCAATTTTGAGATATCCAATTTCCTCATAAATCATGGATCAAATCTGGGGTACATTCTTAGTCTTATTCCTTTTCACATTTATAGCTTGTAGGTTAGATCTGATTTTCACAGCATGGGGGATGATTTGTACACAATTGAGGTGCTTTGGAAAGCTGTTAGCTTTTTTCTTTTTTAAACTACACCAATATAGCAAATGACTTTTATCAATGTCATTCTCTCCTGTTACCACAGGACCCTGCACATTTCTCTCATATTGTTTTTAAAAATTTCTTGTCATAATTTTTTTGGTATGAATTATGAAGTCCTTGAAAATAGTGATTTTTTTCTTTTTTAAGAATGTGGCACATAGTAGGTACATATTGAATTTTTATTAAAAAAAGGATGAAAACTAAAACAGCATAATGCTCCAAATAAAATCCAAATGATATGAAACTACAAGTTCTGTAAAATCAAAACAAAAATCATCCATAGTATTCTTGTGTGCCTCATTGTGCAAACATTATTGTAGAGCCTGTTTTATAAATGATGACTATAATTTCATCTCCTGTTTCCAAAAGATTTTTTCCTCACTCACAAGCAGCAGCTCTTGATGTCACAGCACCCTGTGAGTCCTCCTTGTTTAAAACTCTGGTATCTCCTTGATGATCCCTCCTTTGAGGAACAATTGTTATTAGTCCTAAACTGCAGAGAATATAAAAACACTGGCTGAGGTATATAAAAATTTGCAGGATGACTACTTTTAAGATTGGTTGTAAAAAGAAAGAAAGAAAGAAAGAAAGAAACCTTAAACTTTTAGAAAACTGACTTAATTGCACTCTTTTACAAGATTTAGAAAACTGACAAATGGCATCATTACAGCCTAGTGTTGTATTAAGCTCTATTCACCCTTCAGAGCTGGCTGAGAGCCCTCTGTAGAAAATGCGCTGCATACAAGAAATGCACAGACGAATTTAATCATAAGAACTGCATCTGGCCCAGGCAAAAATCTCTTTAACAGTAATTGGCGTGTGGCTGGCGCTGAAGCAGCAGATGTTGCTTTACAGTTTGGGGACTCTGCTCTAAAATCTGCTGAAAACATGGACCTTACTGCAATGGTTCAACTTACAGTACCTTACCAATTCAAACAGAATCTGAAAGCTCTAGTTTTCTTTCAGACCAGCCCATGCATCTCCAGTAAGACGGGAATCTATGGAAATGTGCTGTTTTTGGCCTTCAAAGCTTTCAAACAAAATGAAATGGACAGACAAAACTAACTTCTAGGGAAATGTGGGTATGGCATGGAAATGTGGATGGACTGTCTCACCATCTCTGAGTGAATAAAAACTGAGGTCAGACGAAAATAACATTCACTGCTTCTGGTTTTCTTCTTTCATTCAGAAAATGAACTAAAAAGTGGCATCCTACTCCCCCAAATGTTTTCTTTTGCTTGTGGAGCAGTGTATAGTGTTCTGAAGTGTTACCTCACTTTGGGGGAGCCATGAGGTCAGTATTAAAGGAAAGAATCACAGGATACTTCCACACAGCCCTGTCTGCTAATGTGGCTGGCAAACATTACCATATACCTATGAGGTATATACCACATATATCTATGAGGACTAGAGGAAGTTTATCCAGAGGATTAGGTATCAGCCCCTAAACACCACACTTGCATTGCTAAAGTGACACCACTGGGATTCTTTTTCCAAATCCAGTATATGCGATTTTCATTTTGGCAAATAAGACTAAACTACCTGAAAAGTGCATAAATAAATCAAGACCCACATGGAGATTAGCACCACTAATTCAATTATCCAACTGTTCAAAGAAGTCCTTCTTTCTTAAGTCCTCTGTTTATAATGTTTACTTAAAATTTATTCAAAGTACTTTCATATATATTATGTATTTTTCCAGCTTTTCTCAAAATTATTAACCTCATTTTATGAATGAGATCATTATAGACCAAAGATGTTGTGATTATCTCAAGACTACACAGAAAATTAGTAGAACCAGAATAACTATTGACTTCAAATAATGTGTTGTTTTTATAACTTCCTCCTCCTTATTTCCATCACCTAAAGTAAGCAACTTTCTGCAGTATTATATGAAATAATACATGTTGTATTATATGAAATAATACATGTTGTATTATATGCATAACATAATTTCTGTGAGATAGATTTTAATTTGGCAAAAATAACTCAAATATCTAGGATTTGTATTATAAAAGCTTTGTTTCATACAACTTATTGCTCTTTCTCTGCTTATCTCCTGAAGATCTAGTCTTTGCCTGTAAACTGTAATGCATCTGTCAGGTCTTCTGCTCAATTGACAATATGTTTTTACTGTTAGGGGAAGATAAGAGAGAAATTTTTACAATGAACATGAAGAATCAATAAATTACGAAAATAGTGGCAAAGATACCATTAAATTCAACAGATTCCTCCTTTTTATTTTAGAAATGATAATCCTCATTGTAGACTAACGTAAGGCGGGTTGTGAGAACATGTGCAGAAGAAATAATAATCAGTAAATTTAGCAGTGTTTCATATTGTGACACTGTGCCTCCCAAAAAGAAAAGTTGGCAGAAGTTAGAATGGAATATGAAGGTAGAAGGAGGACTCCGGGGAGGGGGATGAAAACTTGCCCGGGAGTTTAAGGATCAGGTAACCAAAAATAATATTAAGTATCCCACTCTTACTCAGATAGGTTTCTTAACTCTCTCCACTTTTAGTGCCATTAAAGGCCAATCTCACTACCCTTTCTATGGCTTCATAACTTTTCCTTGCTTCCATACTGGCATTGGGCCACCTTTACTGAGAATGATTAGGTCATCTCTTTGATTCAGTTCACACGGCTAAGTATCCTTGATGCTATGTGTCCTACTAATCAACTCTTCTCCTATGGAAGTGCAGAGGCAGAAATTGCCCTCAATTACCTGGAAAATACCATACTGCTTTCTATTTTAGTCCAGCTGTAAATGGAGTCCAATGGGTAAGTGGAGAGGAGAACAATGAACTATGGAAGTAAATCGTATCTCTCTGTGTCTCCCGGTTACTTGATGCCTGATTACTTGTCAAAACCCACTACTATAATGTAAATTCTATGGAGCAGAGAGAATGAAAGAATAAATGAGTGAATTAATGGCGGGTAAATAAAAAATGGAATTTTTTATCGGAGGATCTATAAAGATATGGGTTATCCATTCATTTATTCAAAACTATGTACCTTTCTACTTGGAAAAACATTTTTCCTTTCTCTTAGACATCAGTTTTGTGACCAAGCATTGGCTTTCCTCGTGTATATGTGGAGGTTTCTTCCTCCAAAAGACCCAAGGCCAATCTTGCATAAATAACAATCTGTCAGCTCACTGATGGCTTTTGATCAGTTCCAGCAACACCATTGGGCTTCTTATTTCGGTAAAATATGCCTTTACTAAATCATTGTGACAAGCCTGCAGTGAGGGTGTTTGCTGCTAACAAAGGATCAGCCTGCAAGGGAGAAAGAGGGATTGTGCAGAGCAGAGTAGAACATTTGCATGCCAGGATCAAAGCCAATGGACTGTAACCATGCAGTCATCTAATCCACTGAGCAGGACAGAGGTCACCTCCAGAGAGGAAATTTCCTATCTCTGCCAACTACAGGACAGAAGAATTGCTAAAGTGCTTAAGAACAAGATCCTAGGAATAAATCCGCTCTGGAAATTGGACAAAAACTGTGGAATACTGATCACCACATACCAAATTTAGCTAGCCAGAATATTTATTTTATTATTTATCTATATATTTTATCTTGCTTCTTATAGAAAGGATCTAAGGTGAGTTTGCCAGAAAATATTCATACCATGGATTAAAAATATACATGCTAGTTTAGAAGAACAAAGGGGAGAATCATTTGAAATATCATATTTGAAATGTTTTTGCATTTATGTTTGAATTTTAACATATTTTGTGTTTTAGGAATTCACATCACTTCAGAGTGAAGCCACATAATGAAGGCCTAACCCTGCCTTCTGATTAGAACTTTACCTAATGTCTATACATTTTATATTTTTCATATTTATGCAGAGTGTTAGCCCTAATTAGCTAGGAGTTTTAATACTTAAAAGAATTAAAGAGCATGAATTTTGATTAAAAATATAATGTTTTTTAAAAGATAAATGAGAAATGAATAACATAAATAATATATATATTTACTAAGCTAACATTGAAAAATATTTTAAAATAAGAGTTTATTATAATTCAGTAATGAACCAGTTTGTAAAATGTTTGTTATGCTTTGAATCAATCTGCCTTTCATTAGTTTATTCAATTCATGCATATAGATAAAACACCTACATATACCAGACTATATGATGGATTTCACTTTGGAAATGAAAGTTATATAATAGCCACAAGAATCTACTGGCTTAGATTCAAAAACTTAGGAAAAAAACAACAACCCTTTATTATTAAAAAATAAATTTAAACATACAAATTTAGAAAGAAAAATAAATCAAATCCATATAAACCATCAGACTCAATAGTTTTCATGATTTTGCCCTAATTGTTTTATTTACTCTCACTCTATTTTTTCTGAAGTATTCTAAAACAAATTTTACATGTTGTTTTACTTCCACATACTTCAGTGTACATTATTAAAATTATAGAAAATTTTTATGTAACTGCATTTCTATTTTCATACCTAATAAGATTAACAACAAATCCTTTGTGTCACCTAATAGTCTATATTAACATTTCTCTATATAATTAATCTTCTGTCTTATTTGAATTTCAAACTTTTTGGGTGAAGTAATTTAAAATACAAACAAGAATGTTTTTATTTTAACAATACAAAAATTACTGAACTTATAATTTAAAATATATATTTGACATGTATTTTTAAAATATCAAACAATATATTTAATATCTATTCTATAAATTTTTAAATTTAATATAATTGTTTAAAAAAATCAAACATATATTTAAAATTCATATTCATTGAAAACACCTTCAAATTTGTTTCATAAGCATTATCTATTTTTAGGTCAGTATTTGAAACCAGCTCTCTTTTTTAATGGTGTAAATATTTGACGAAATTAATACCAATTACATCAGTATCCAGATTAGTTCTTTTTTCTCATCTTTGCCCCAGATAAAGTCATGTTTGTTTTCGGAAAGCTTTGAAAATAATCCATTGACATCACACTTGCATTTTAACATTTGAGGTGGAAAGAACCTCAAACCAGCTCTTTCAGCCCTACCTTCCTGCTCATTCCATGTTTAGCACTGTGCTATTATGGGAATAATTTAGTTGTTTTATTAAAACTTGGTTTTGAAATGTTAATAAACACTAAGACTAGGGCAGGAAACCCTAAAATAACTGAACATTTCTGGTGTCCTTTCCATTAGCCATAAGCTTAAATGCAGGCTTTTAGGCATGTCTCCTGCCAAAATTAACAGCTCTTCTTTAAATCAGAAAGCTTTTGAAGAGTCATCAGTAGCAACATTAACAAATGTTTATTGTGCAAAGTTTATTATAAATTATAGTTATGCTTTTAAGAAGCTTAGAATCCTGTGGAGGTCCTCATTACTACTTCACTGAGATTCATGTAGCTAGGAAGGATCCTCTTATTCCACCATGGATAAAAACCATTGAGGAAAGATAATCTCCATTTTTAGCTCTGCATTTCTGAACTTTGATAGATTGTGAAGTAAAAGAAATTTTAACTCTTCACTCTTCATGGTTGAAATGTAGATATTATGGATTCTACCCTTTAGACCAACTTTTATAATTAGTAGATATATACTTGTTTAGCATATTGTTTTGTTTCTATGGTTTGACAGGCCTTATCTGTAGTTGGCTCCAACCATATTCAATCATTCATTCATTATTTATTGAGTTCCTATTTTGCCCAATAATATAAAGAATAATTCTAGAAGTAAATGAAATAAGTCAAAATCCTTGATCTCAAGTGGCTTATAATCAGTTATGGAAGACAGCTGAGTAAAGCAATGGTATAGAAGAATAGAAGCAGCTAAACCGTGTCAGTTTCTCACTGTATTAGTCCATTGTAATACGCAAGGAAGGTATTGCTATACAGAAATACCCGAACCTGGGTAATTTATAAAGAAAAGAGGTTTTAATTGGCTTACGGTTCTGTAGGCTATACAGGAAGCATGGCTGGGGAGGCCTCAGGAAACTTACAATCATGGCAGAAGGTGAAGGGGAAGGAGTCACATCTTACATGGCATAAGCAGGAGGAAAAGAGAGAAGTGGGTGGTGCTACACATTTTTAAACAACCAGATCTCAAGAGAACTCAGTATCACGAAAACAGCAAGGGGGAAATCTACCCCCATGAGCCAATCACCTCCCACAAAGCCCCTCTTCCAACATTGGGGATTACAATTTGACATGTGATTTGGCCAGGGACACAAATCCAAACCCTATCACCCACTTAGTGTTTGCTCCATCTCTGGTGTTACACTGACTTCGCACTGCCTCCAGACTGTGGAGCCCTGTCCTTTCAGTCACTCACTGGGTACGCTCCTTGCATGGTGTCTGACATTTATTTTTAGTCTTGCCCTATTTTTCCTGGTCCTGGCTTCCTGTTCTATCTCTGAAAGCCATATCCACCTACAGTCTAGACACAAACCTCTTGAAGTTGCTTCTATGACTTACACGTTTGTGAAAGAATGTGGAGGAGCCAGAAGGAGAGGCATATGTTTCACATAAAAGTTAAAGTCAGGATATAGTTTTTTGCTGGGGAAATTTCCATAGAGCACATTTAGAAAACTTTACCCAGAAATATGAGAAAACCTTTTAAAAGTCCTATATAAAATATAGAAAATATTTCACAGCATTAACATCCTGGATAAAATGGCCTTAAAATAATGAGGAAATTCCAGCATCAGGAAAGGTTTGTCCATCTGTCTGCATCAGTGGATAATTGAGGGCTCAGTCATACATATTTTGGCTTCCACTTAGCTTTAACTCAAGGGCTTAAAGGTTAGCTCATTTTTATCATCAAAAATTATTGAGATATTAATAATTATTAAGATTTCTGTTTGTCACTGCTATGGAGTAATGCCATTTTTCTGCTAAATGGAATTTTGCTATCTCTCTACATTTTCCCTCTTGGCTTTTCTTACTATGTGTATTGAAGAAAAGATAATAAAAATGGATTAATGTGAAATCTTACTAGTTTTCAATGAGAATGATACATCTGATAGGAGTTTAGATGTCTAGCATTACTTTGGAGCCAAAGAAGAAAGAGATTTCCTTATCCATCCCCCATTTAAGAGTATTACTTTGAACAAGGGGGGTGGCTTATCCCTATAATCCCAGCACTTTGGGAGGCTGAGGCCAGAGGATTGCTTGAGCCCAGGGGTTTGAAGCTACCCTGGGTGCATAATGAGACCCTTTCTCTACAAAAAATACAAAAATCAGATGAGCATGGTGGTGTACACCTGTAGTCCCAGCTACTTGGGAGGCTAAGGTGGGAGGATCACTTGAGCCTTGGAAGCTGAGGCTGTAGTTAGCTACAATCTTGCCACTGTACTTCAGCCTAGGTGACAGAGTGAGGCATCTATCTCTCTCCTTTATTGCTTTACTTCTTATGAAAGTGCATAAGTAACCAAAATTGGGTTTTGTTTAATTTTCACAGAAGGGAAGAGGGGGAGGATGGGAAAAGAGGAAGAAAAGAAGGAAGAGGAGGAGGAGGCAGAGGCAGCAGCAGCAAAGAAGTAAATAATTGCTAAGGCAGAGTTGGTTCCTCCTGCTTTTTTTCACCAGCACATAATATATTTGAAGGAGAAGCACTAACTATAATTTCCATTCTTTTAATCTTACCCTCTGTGTAGTTAATATCAATATTGAAGGTGGAAATTTCCAAAAGTTTGTAAAACAAAAAGCATTTTTGTGGGCTAGAATGCTAATATGAGCCCAGCTGAGGTTCAATAAATCGTTCCTCTAATTTGGGGGACTCTTGCTGCTCACAGCAGCATGCATGCTGTTGACTAAGCCATCCAACAGTGAAAATACATTTAATTGGAGAAGAAACAACTTTCCAGATTTTAAAATTAAATCATGATTTTTCCTAAGAATATTAAGAATCTAATTTACAGGGATTATTATCAATGTCTGTGTTTACCAAAATATATATCGGAAGGAAAATAAAAATGTCTTGTTCTTAGTTTAGTGGAAATGGTGCTGGTATGGCATACTGTTATGGACTGAATTTCTATGTCCCTCAAATATGTTGAAGCCATAACCCCCAGTGTGATGGTATTAGGAGGAATGGTCTTGGTGGGTATTTAGGTTTAGATGAGGTCATGAGGGTGGGGTTCTCATGATGGGATTAATACGTTTATAGGAAGAGACCAGAGAATTTGCTCTCTCTTGCTGTCTCTCCACTTTGTGAATACACAGTGAGAAGGCAGCTGTCTGGAAGCCAGGAAGAAAGCCCTCACCAAAAATGGAATCTACTGACACCTTGATTTTGGACTGCTTAGCCTTGAGAACTGTGAGAAATAAGTGGTGTTTAAGCCACCCAATCAATGGTATTTTGTAATGGCAACCCCAGCTATTATATACTATGCTATGCATTCATCCAAGCCCTTTGCTTATTTCAGAGATAAGACTAGGGCAGATGGTTCCATTGATCAGACAGAGCTCTCTCTTCAAAATCCGTTACTCATTCACCTGAACAAATAAACCTGCTACTTATTCTCTTGGGCTACAGAAAATTTCAAGAGGATTTTTAGAACTCAAATTATCCAAATTATTTTGTTCTGAACATGTGGGCTCCTACAGAAGAGTGCTTTCTGGATGATACCTAGCAGAGTGCCAGTAAACTTAAGTCATTCATAAACTAATTATATAATGATAATAGTAGTTGAAAAAATAGTCCTTAATTCTTAACTCTCTACCAGCCTTGTCTGTCCAGCCTGTCTTAATGTCTCTTTGAGATAGGCTGCTGCTAGAAAAATTTACTAAGAGTGCAAATGCTGAAACTTGCTCCCTAGGAGATAACCAATGGCAAGTATCTGTGGAAAGACACAGTCTGCCAACTAGGGTGACTTGTGAGGTTTTTTTTAAAGATTCAAATTTTCTATCCCATATTTTTGGCGAAGAAAAACTGGTTAGGGTAACATTTAGAGTTGAAAGCTGATTTATCTTTGGAACTATGAAATTTATTTATTTTATGGTTGATTGATGTATTTTGATCTGCCTTTCATATGGAATTCTTTACTTGGATATTTTCTATTACAAGTTTCACATGAGAATATATTGTTTAGATCATTTTGTTTCAATCAGTATTATTGGTATGTGTACCAGATAACCAACTGAAATGCTTATTCATTGAGAGGTGAGGGATTCGGATGAAAAATACTGCCCGGTGTGAAGAGGACCTTGATGCTCTGGCATGTTCCAAAATGGTGCTGTACCTCATGGACAATCAGAGAATGTACTTGACCAAAAGGCTAGAGCTGGGTGTACTCAGGGCAGGCAGGCTGCAGATGGACCAAAGAAGTGGATTATACTTAACAATGTCTGCTTTGCTCCTCTTTTTAAACACCTGTCTTCCACCTACTCACCAAAGCTAGCCATTAGGAATGGGACTGGCTTCTTTGCAACCACCTGGGCTCCTGTACCCCACAGTCATAATGTGCTACACATCCGTCCTCTACTAGAGTTCCTCTGCACTACAGCTTATGGCCATAGCTTCCACAAGTTTTGAGTCTCTAGCTCCATTAAAACCACCTCCAGTTATTCTCTGCACCTTGGAAAGAACAGGGATCTTTAAATAAACCCAACAGTATTTCCACTGCTCAACTTTGATTTTTGTTTATTGCCACTTTCAGAAACTCCTGAACTATTTTTACCCTGATTCACTTCATGACACTGCAAGTCTCATCCCAATTTCCACTCTGGATTTTGTTTTCCTAATTCAACCTCTCAAACTTTCTTTATGTCCTGATAATCTACTTTCTGTCTCTTCTTCATGCGTCCTTTACCACTCTGTCATCTCAGTGGGGTAGTGGAAACATTTAGGAATGTGGATACTCAGGGCTGCTGGTGCAAACTGTGTCACAGGAAAGTGACCTTGAACAGTGACTTTATGTCTTTCACTGAGATTCCTCATTTGTGAAATGAAAGAGTCAGACCAGATGATGATCTATAAAGTAATCTTTCTCCTAAAGCTTCCATGAGTCTACGACTGTTTCTACTCACATTGTTCCTCTTGTAACTCACGGTTTTTAATGTTCATTTTGTGGCAGTTCCAACTTCTCAACCTTTCCCTTGTAGTATTGAATACTGTTCACCAGGCTGAAATTAATTCAGATTTCAACTGTTTAAAAGGGCTTTTGAGTCCTTTGGCTTACCATGTTTACTCATCCAAGTGTGGATTCCCTTGGAGGTAGTTCTGTCTCTTTGTATAGATTCCTAAAATCTCCAGTACGTCCCTTATTGACAGAGAGTCCTGCTCCAAAACTTTGTTAGTATATGTCATCCAGTTTTATATATAACTCAAGTTTTTCATTTTAAATACCCTGACGTACCCTTAGAAATGCAACTTTGTTTGGCTTGTGGTCTGTGAAGTGAGGTGTCAGTGGAAGGGAATAAATTTCTACAAGCAGAGTGACTACACGAAGAAATAAGTGTCATATATGCCTTTGTGAACCTCATCAAAGAAAACCATCACATTTGTCTTTCCAAACACAAAAAACTTCAAAATTAGAACTTAACCTGTGAATACACATAAATATTTGTGTAGGGGTGAAGAGTTATGAGTGGGAGAAAATGATATTTCTTTGCTAAGTTACAGTTTGTGAAGACAAATAAGATTGGGCCACTGAGGCATCATTTGTAATATTTGCTGAAGGTATAAGCTAAAAAATTACTAATTTTTTGTCTTATTATTTTAAACACATATTTTAGACTACAGGTAGACAGTACTTTCTGTGATTTACTTATTAATTTTTAAAATAACTATTTAGAAACAATATAAGAATATCACTTATAAAGACTTTCTACACAATACCAACAATTTCTTTCTGCTGTTAGGAAAAAATAGGATATAGTAAGAGATATTAAATAACATAAATTTATCCTTAAAATAATGTAAAATCTCTTTGAAATGTAAACAATGATACAATTTTGAAATAGCACAAAAAAACCTTCATTGGGCCCTGCCAGAGCTACCACTGACAACAATTCAAAATTTTCATTATGAGTTCAGATGATCTTCAGCTGAATTGAGTCTTGTACATGATTATTTTTCAAAAAAGATTTAAACTTTTTCTTAAAGAAGAAAAATTATATGAATAACTGAGGTGAAGTTGAAAGCAGGCGTTATCAGTGAGTTCAGAGTTTTCTGTGGACATGGTGGTCTATTAAGAAATAAAACCTGTTCCAACCTTCCTGGAAGAGAGCTCCAAGAAGGAAAGGCAGGTCTCCATCTTTGCTGTTTGGGTGACTTAGCTGTTCCAACCTTTGGGCTTTGGAGTGTCTGAGGTGACCAGGGACTGAACTGGACCCCCAGCACAGCACAGCTGCTCTGTAAAAACATGGCCAGACTGCTTTTTAAAGGAGGTGTCCTAATCCCATTCTTCCTCACTTGGGAGGACCTCCCAGCTGTGGTCTCCAGCCACCTCCTACTGGTGCATTTAGGCTGGCAATTGGTCTGTACCTCTCTAGAATGGAGCTCCCAGAGGGAAGGGGAGGCCACAATCTTTGTTGTTTTGCAGCCTTCATTGTTGATATCTCTAGGTACCAGAAAATCTGAGGTGACTAGGGACTGGAGTGGGCCCCTAGCACATGGCAGCAGCCCTATTGAAAAGTGGCCAGACTGTTATGTGGGTTCCCATTTCCACATCTCCTCACTGGGTAGGTCCTCTAGGCCTGGGCCTCCAGCCACGCCCCACCAGGGCTATTGAGCCAGTAGCAGCTCTGCAGCTCCCTGGACAGAGCCCCCAGGGGCAACCAAAAGCCTCTCTGCCACTGCCTCTGCAGTGGAACTGCCCTTGTTACCCTTGGAATAATAAAGAAGCAAAGACCCTAAAGGTCTTATTCATGTCTCCAACAAGCTGCAGTCAACCTAAGGAGAGGAGGCCAGACTGTCTCCCATGGGTCCCAGCCACCCACTACTGCTCATCACCAGACAGGGAACCCCTGGCTTGGGCCCATGGCACAGATCCTCCATTCTGGGCTGACTGCATCTCTCTGGGGTGGAGCCCCCAGAAGATAAGCAAAAGACCCTTGATCACAACCACTACTAAGGTCCCTTCCTCTGCTGCCTCCAAATTGGGGAAGGAACATAAACACTGAGATTGCCCCAGAGTGGGAATGGGCAGCCAAGGAATGCCAAGTCACTATCTACAGCCAGCACTGAAGGGGGAGAGAAACCCACACTTTCAGAGCATTGAAAGGTAACATGGCTGCACCTGTGAAGAAACACAGGGGAGGCACATAACCAAGCAAGAGTCTACCAACTGACCAATATGCATAAATGCCACTTACTGGATCACACCCCAAAGCGTTGACACCAAAAACACCTCGCTAACATACCCTATTCTGAAACCAAAGACAAAAAGTCAGCTTCAAATAAAAATGCTGCACAAAGCCTCGGCTCTGTGAAAACATCCAGAATAGAAGTCTATTGACTGCACTCAATCTATACTGCAGTTAAAGGAACACCCACAGACAGAGATGAGAAAGAAACAATGCAAGAACTCCAGTATCTCAAATGGCTAGAGTGTTGTATGTCCTAGAGATGACCATACCAGTTCTCCAAATAGAGTTCTCAACAAGGCTGAACTGGCTGAAATGACAGAAATAGAATTCAGAATATGAATAGGAACTAAGATCATCAAGATTCAGGAGAACAGCAAAACTCAATTGAAGGAAAGTAAGAATCACAATAAGATGATACAGGAGCTGAAGGAGGAAAGAGCCTGTATAAAAAGAACTTAGTGGATCCGACAGAGCTGAATAACACAACACAAGAATGTCACAATGCAGTCACAAGTATTAACAGTAGAATAAACCAAGCTGAGGAAGGAATCTCAGAACTTAAAGACCATTCAGAAGTTTTCTGAAATAAGAGAGTCAGACAAAAATAAAGAAAACAGAATAAAAATAAATGAACAAAACCTCGACAAGTATGAGATTATGTAAAGAGGCCAAATCTACGAATCACTGGCATCACTTAAAGTGGCGGGGGGAGGAAGCAAACAACTTGGAAAACATATTTCAGGATATGGTCCATGAAAACTTCCCCAGCCTTGCTAGAGAGGCCAACAGTCAAATTCAGGAAATACAGACAACTCCTGCAAGACTCCACACAAAATCAACCCCAATACAAATAATTGTCAGATTTTCCAAGGTTGACATTAAAAAAAGAATGTGAAAGCAGCTAGAGAAAAGAGCAGGTCACCTACAAAGGGAAACCCATCAGGCTAACAACAGACCTCTCAGCTGAAACTCTACAAGCCAGAAGAAACTGGGAATCTATATAAACATTCTTAAAGAGAAAAACCTTAATCAAGAATTTAATATCCAGCCAAACTAGCTTTCTAAGTGAAGAAGAAATAAGATCCTTTTTATATAAACAAATGTTGAGAGAGGTCATTATTATCATATCTGCCTTATAAGAGATCTAAAAAGGAACACTGTATATAGAAAGGAAAGAACACTACCAGCTAATACAAAAATACACTTTAATACACAAACCAGTGACACCATAAAGCGATCACAGAAACGAGCCAGCATAATAACCACCTAAAAACACAGTGACAGGATGAAATTCATACTTATCAATACTATCCTTAAATGTAAATAGGCTAAATGCCCCACTTAAAAGGCACAGAGCAGCAAGCTGGATAAAAAGCAAGACCCAATGATATGCTGTCTTCAGGAGACCCATATCACATGTAATGACACCTGTAGGTTCAAAATAAAGGGATAGAAGAAAATATACCAAGCAAATGGAAAACAGAAAAAAGCAGGGGTTGCAATCCTAATTTCAGACAAAACAGACTTAAAACCAACAAAGATTAAAAAAAAAAAAAGATAACAAAGCGCATTACATAATGGTAAAGGGTTCAATTCCACAAGATGACCTAACTATTCAAAATATATATGCACCTAACACAGGAGCACCCAGATTCATAAAGCAAGTTCTTAGAGACCTACAAAGAGACATAGACACCCACACAATATAGTGGGAGACTTCAGTGCTCCAGGTATAGTATTAGATCATCAACACAGAAAATTAATAAAAGTATTCAGGACCTGAACTCAACAATGGACCAAATGGATCTGACAGATCTCTAAAGAACTCTCCACCCAAAAGCAAGAGAACATACATCCTTTTCATTGCAACATGGCACACACTCTAAAATTGACTACTTAATTGGACATAAAACAATCCTCAGCAAATGCCAAAGAATCAAAATCATACCAAACACGCTCTCAGACCATGGCACAATAAGAATAAAAGTCAAGACTAAGAAAAAATCACTCAAAACCATGCAATTACACCGAAATTAAACAACATGTTGCTGAATGACTTGTGGATAAATAATGAAATTAAGAAGAAATCAAGAAGCTCTTTGAAACTAATAAGAACAAAGATACAACATACTACAATCTCTGGGACATGGCTTAGGTAGTGTTAAGAGGGAAATTCATAGCACTCAATGCCCACATCAAAAAGTTAGAAAGATCTCAAATTAACAACTTTACATCACAACTGAAAGAATTAGAGAAGCAAGAACAAATCAATCCCAAAGCTAGCAGAATACAAGAAATAACCAAAATTAGAGCTGAACTGAAGGAAATTGAGACCTAAAATTCTTTCAAAAGATCAACAAATCCAGGAGTTTAGTTTTATTTTGAAAAAAATTAATAAGATAGATAGGCTGCTAGCTAGAGTAATAAAGAATAAAGAGAAGATTCAAATAAACACAATTAGAAATAACAAAGGGAATGTTACCACTGACCCCACAGAAATAAAAATAACCATCAGAAACTACTACAAATAACTCTATGCACACAAACTAGAAAACCTGAAAGAGATAGGTAAATTCCTGGACACATGCATCCTCCCCAGACTGAAACTGGAATAAATTGATTACCTGAACAGACTACTAATGAGCTCTAAAATTGAATCAGTATAAACCAAAAAAAGCTCAGTACTAACCAAAAAAAGCCCAGGACCTGATGGATTCATAACCAAATTCTACCAGATGTACAAAGAAGAGCTGGTACCATTCCTAATGAGACTATTCCAAAAAATTGAGTAGGAGAGATTTCTCCCCAACTCATTCTATGAGACCAGCATCATACTGATACCAAAACCTGGCAGAATCACAATAAAAAAGAAAACTTCAGGCCAATGTCTTGAAGAACATCAATGTAAAAATCCTCAACAAAGTACTTGCAAACCGAATGCAGCACTACATCAAAAAGCTTATCCACCATGATCAAGTAGGCTTCCCACCAGGATGCAAGTTTGGTTCAACATATACAATTCAATAAATGTGATTCATCACATAAATGGAACTAAAGACAAAAGCCACATGATTATCTCAACAGATTCAGAAAAGCCTTCCAATAAAATTCAACATCACTTCATGTTAAAAACTCTCAATAAATTAGGTGTTGAAGGAACATACCTCAAAATAATAAGAGCCATCTATGACAAATCCACAGCCAACATCATAGTGAATAGGCAAAAGCTGGAAGCATTCCCCTTGAAACCCTGGACAAGAACAAGACAAAGATGCCCAAACCACTCCTATTCAACATAGTAGTAAAAGTCCTAGCCAGAGCAATCAGGCAAGAGAAAGAAATAAAGGGCATCCAAATAGGAACAGAGAAATTCAAATTACCCTTCTTTGCAGATGATATGTTTCTATATAGAGAAAACCCTATAGTTTCAGCCCAAAACCTCTGAAGCTGATAAACAACTTCAGCAAAGTTTCAGGATAAAATATCACTGTATAAAAATCACTAGCATTCCTATACAGCAACAACAGCCGAGCCAAAAGTCTAATCAGGAAAGCAATCCCATTCAGATTGCCAAAGAAAGAATAAAATACCTAGGAATACAGCTCACTATGGAGATGAAAGGTCTCTGTAACGAGAATTACAAAATACTGCTCAAAGAAATCAGAGAAAACACAAACAAATGGCAAAACATTCCATGCTCATAGATAGGAAGAATTAGTACCATTAAAATGGCCATACCACCCAAAGCAATTTAGAGTCAATGCTATTCTTATCAAACTACCAATGACATTCTTCACATAACTAGAAAAATATATTTTAAAATTCATATGGAACCAAAAAAGAGCCTGAATAGGCAAGGTAATCCTAAGCAAAAAGAACAAAGCTAGAGGTATCATATTACCTGACTTCAAACTGTACTACAGGGCTACAGTAACCAAAATTGCTTGGTACTGGCACAAAAACAGGTACACAGACAAATGGATCAAAATACACAGCACAGAAACAAGGCCACACACCTATGATTATCTGATCTTCAACAATGCTGCCAAAAACAGCAATGGAAAAAGGAATTCCTTTTTTTTTAAATTTTATTATTATTATACTTTAAGTTTTAGGGTACATGTGCACAACGTGCAGGTTTGTTACATATGTATACATGTGCCATGTTAGTGTGCTGCACCCATTAACTCGTCATTTAGCATTAGGTATATCTCCTAATGCTATCTCTTCCTCCTCCGCCCATCCTACAACAGTCCCCGGTGTGTGATGTTCCCCTTCCTGTGTCCATGTGTTCTTATTGTTCAATTCCCACCTATGAGTGAGAACATGCGGTGTTTGGTTTTTTGTCCTTGTGATAGTTTGCTGAGAATGATGGTTTCCAGCTTCATCCATGTCCCTACAATGACATGAACTCATCATTTTTTATGGCTGCATAGTATTCCATGGTGTATATGTGCCACATTTTCTTAATCCAGTCTATCATTGTTGGACATTTGGGTTGGTTCCAAGTCTTTGCTATTGTGAATAGTGCCACAATAAACATACATGTGCATGTGTCTTTATAGCAGCATGATTTATAATCATTTGGGTATATACCCAGTAATGGGATGGCTGGGTCAAATGGTATTTCTAGTTCTAGATCCCTGAGGAATCGCCACACTGACTTCCACAATGGTTGAACTAGTTTACAGTCCCACCAACAGTGTAAAAGTGTTCCTATTTCTCCACATCCTCTCCAGCACCTGTTGTTTCCTGACTTTTTGATGATTGCCATTCTAACTGGTGTGAGATGGTATCTCATTGTGGTTTTGATTTGCATTTCTCTGATGGCCAGTGATGATGAGCATTTTTTCATGTGTTTTTTGGCTGCATAAATGTCTTCTTTTGAGAAGTGTCTATTCATATCCTTCGCCCACTTTCTGATAGGGTTGTTTGTTTTTTTCTTGTAAATTTGTTTGAGTTCATTGTAGATTCTGGATATTAGCCCTTTGTCAGATAAGTAGATTGCAAAAATGTTCTCCCATTCTGTAGGTTGCCTGTTCACTCTGATGGTAGTTTCTTTTGCTGTGCAGAGAAGCTCTTTGGTTTAATTAGATCCCATTTGTCAATTTTGGCTTTTGTTGCCGTTGCTTTTGGTGTTTTAGACATGAAGTCCTTGCCCATGCCTATGTCCTGAATGGTATTGCCTAGGTTTTCTTCTAGGGTTTTTATGGTTTTAGGTCTAATATGTAAGTCTTTAATCCATCTTGAATTAATTTTTGTATAAGGTGTAAGGAAGGGATCCAGTTTCAGCTTTCTACAAGGAAAAAGGAATTCCTAATCAATTAATGGTGCTGGGATAACTGGCTAGGCAGGTGCAGAAGATTGAAGCTGGACCCCTTCCTCATGCCATATACAAAAATCAACTCAAGATCAATGAAAGACTTAAATGTAAACACCTCGAACCATAAAAACCCTGGAAGACAACTTAGGCATTACCATCCTGGACATAGGACCTGGCAAATATTTCATGACGAAGACACCAAAACAATTGCAACAAAAGCAAAAATTGACAAATGGGATCTAATTAAACTTAAGAGCTTCTGCACAGCAAAAGAAACTATCAACAGTGTGAACATACAACCTACAAAATGGAGAAAATTTTTGCAAACCATGCATCTTACAAGGTCTAAAATCCAGCATTTATAAGGAACCTAAATTTACAAGAGAAAAATAACCCCATTAAAAAGTGTGCAAAGGACATAAACAGACATTTTTCAAAAGAAGACATACATGCGGCCAACAAGCATATGAAAAAAAGTTCAATATCACTGATCATCAGAGAAATGCAAATCAAAACCACAATGAGATAGCCATTCTGATTGGTAGGAGATGGTACTATTTAAAAGTAAAAAAAATAACAGATGTTGGCAAGGTTTTGGAGAAAAGGGAACACTTATACACTGTTGGTGGGAGTGAACATTAGTTCAATCATTGTGAAAAGCAGTATATCCTCAAAAAGCTAAAAGCAGAACTATTATTTGACCCAGAAATCCTTTTACTGGGTATATAACCAGAGGAATATAAATCATTCTACCATAAAGACATATGCACGTGAATGTTCATTGCAGCACTATTCACAATAGCAAAGACATGGAATCAACCTAAATGCCCATCAATGAAAGATTGAATAAATAAAATATGGTACATATCCACTATGGAATACTATGCAGCTATAAAAAGAATGAGATTATGTCTCTTGCAGGAAAATGGATAAGGCTGTTACCTTTATTTATTATTAATATTTCAAAAACTAAAAGAGTGCCAAATTTCTTATTGATATTCTTCTATTCAATAAGTAGGCACTCTGAATTTAAGAATAACATATCTATCTCTATCCTCTTTTAAGCATAGGACTCGACAAAGTTATTTTCATTAAAAAAATTTTAAGTGTGCCTTATAGACATTTTTTATTTTTCATAAATGTTTTTGACTCAATATCAAGTGGACTATAGGACATCCAAGTATCATTTATTTCTTTTATTATTTTTTGTTTTTAGAGACAGGGTCTTTGTCGCCCAGGCTGGAATGCAGTCATGAGATCATAGCTCACTGCAGCCTCAAGAGTTCCCAAACTAACAATGCAAGAAAAGAAAACCAAGTACTGCGTGTTCTCACTTATAAGTGGGAGCTAAATTATGAGAACTCATGAACACAAAGAAGGAAACAATAGACACTGGAGTCTACTTGAGTGTGGAGGGTGGGAGGAGGGACAGGAGCAGAAAGGTAACTATTGGGTACTGGGTTTAATACCTGGGTGATGAAATAATCTATACAACAAACCCCCATGTCACGAATTTACCTATGTAACAAACCTTCACATGTACCCTGAGCCTAAAATGAAAGTTTAAAAATAATAAACCTTCATTACTTTATTACTTATGGAATAAATATAAACATTTTGGCACTCATTTTTCATACTCCAACAGAAGAGACAATATCAACACACATAATACTTTTGGAAACAGCAATGAGATGAGGGTGAATTGAGAGAAATGTCATATAGTTCAACTTTCAATGTTATTAATATGGAGTATATATTTATTCACATGGCACTAACCAGTACTGAGAGCTTGCTTGGACATTAAACTTAGAGATTTTAAAGCTTGCTGTGGATAAAGGTAATAATAATTAAAGATAGACTGGTAATGATTCAAGTAAAACATGTTCTTGAATTAACTTTTACATTGATGGATGGATTCTATTTTTGCTAGGAACATTCATAACACTATTTCTGTCCAAATAGTAGAGGAAAAGAATTCTATAGCTGTATACCAGTGATTCTTATGCTATAGCCTCTCTCAAGGGCTTGGTAAGACACAAATTGCTAGATCCCACTCTCAGAGATTTTGATTCAGTAGTTTATGCTGTTTGTCCAAAACCCCACTTTGAGTAGTAGTAGCAGTACTACTACTACTACTACTACTACTACTACTACTACTACCACTACTACTACTACTACTACTGTATACGATACCCAAATGTCACTTAGTTCATCCCTGTGCCCCTGCACAGGTTGTGAACAAACTATGAACCATGAGCCATGACTAGTCTCAACTAGGTTCAACATATTAATGATCTAATTTCAAAAGCAGTCCAAATATAGTGGAAGAATTGGGCCTTGGGAGCTTCATAATATGAAGAACTGAATTAAAATTGTTCATCCAGGGTCACAGAAATAGATGAGTGATTGCCAATAGGGTCTGCCTTTGGTGTAGACCCCTTCCTCTCCCACCTTCCCTTACACATATGGGCTCTTTAGGGAAACTGCTACTGTTGATGTTATTGTAGGTATCACAGCTTTGTCAGCCCTTTTCAAATTAAGCAAAGAGACTTGTATCCAAGAGAGATGGAGGCCTAAGTAAAGGAAGGACATGGGGGAGTAGCTGGCAAGGTACAGTGAAGCTTCATTTTATCCATCTCTGTCTCTGGCAGCTGGCACTTGGTGCACAATAGGCATTCTGTAAAAACTGCAAGAGTGGCATGAGCTAAATTTTGTCTTTGCTCTATCTTGAAACACTGTATGATGCTGGGAAAATTGCTTCATCTACTTGAGCCTTAGTTTTCTAAGTGTGGCTGGGAGGAATATCTCCATTGCAGAATGTTTTGAAAACAAAATGAGATAATAAATGTATCTGTACTCTAAAATGAATTATAAGCCTAAGAGATGAAAAAATAGAAAGATGTTCCTATGTTAACCTTTTTAAATATTCCCAGATATTAATATTTCAAAAACTAAAAGAGTGCCAAATTTCTTATTGATATTCTTCTATTCAATAGAGTAGGCACTCTAAATTTAAGAATAACTATCTATCTCTATCCCCTTTTAGGCATAGGACTCGACAAAGTTATTTTCATTAAAAAAATTTTAAGTGTGCCTTATAGACATTTTTTATTTTTCATAAATGTTTTTGACTCAATATCAAGTGGACTATAGGACATCCAAGTATCATTTATTTCTTTTATTCTTTTTTGTTTTTAGAGACAGGGTCTTTGTTGCCCAGGCTGGAATGCAGTCATGAGATCATAGCTCACTGCAGCCTCAATCTCTTGGGCTCAAGGGATCTTCCTGCCTTGACCTCCTGAGTAGCTGGGACTACAGGCACGCACCACCATGCCTGGCTATTTTTCAAAAAAATGTTTGTAGAGATGGAGTCTTGCTATATTGCGAGAATAGGCTGGTGTTGAACTCCTGGCCTTAAGTGATATTCCCACTTTGGCCTTCCAAAGTGCTGGGATTACAAGTATAAGCCACTGTGCCCAGCCTCTAATTTGTTTTATTATTACTTAGTCTTTCTCTCAGATTGATACTGTTGATTGTTTACTACTTGAACTTCTCTCCTCTTGATTTTTTACATCAATTTTATAACATTCTCTTTTTTTTTTTTTTTTTTTTTTTGAGACGGAGTCTCGCTCTGTCGCCCAGGCTGGAGTGCAGTGGCGCGATCTCGGCTCACTGCAAGCTCCGCCTCCCGGGTTCACGCCATTCTCCTGCCTCAGCCTCCCGAGTAGCTGGGACTACAGGCGCCCGCTACCACGCCCGGCTAATTTTTTGTATTTTTAGTAGAGACGGGGTTTCACCGTGTTAGCCAGGATGGTCTCGATCTCCTGACCTCCTGATCCGCCCGCCTCGGCCTCCCAAAGTGCTGGGATTACAGGCGTGAGCCACCGCGCCCGGCCAACATTCTCTTTTCCAGCTTTCTCCTTTCCCTCTGACCACTCTTTCACAGTCCCTTAACTAGTTTCTCTTTTACCATCTACTCTTCAATGCAAGATTTCTATGCTTTTGTCCTTGAATAGCTTTAGTTCCCATTCACTACCACATCCTTAGCATTCTTATTCCATCTGTTATGGAATAATGTTTTTGTGTCTCCTAAAATTCATATGTTGAAATTCTAATGCCCAGTGTGGCTGTATTAGGAAACGGGGCCTCTAAGGAAGCAATTAAGGTTAAACAAAGTATACGAGTCCTGATGCAATAGGATTAATGGTTTCTATTGGAAGGAACATCAGAGAGTTTGCTTTCTTTCTCTGCCTGCCTGAATGCACCGAGGAAGGGTCATACATAGAAATAGTGAGAATGTGGCAGTCTACAAACCAGAACGAGAGCCCTCATCCTAAAGTGAATTTGCCAGCACTTTGATCTTGAATCATTTGGCCTCCAGAACTGTGAGAAAATAGATTTCTACTGTCTGAGCAACCCAGTCTGTGGTATGTTCTTGTGGGAGTGTGAGCGGACTAATATACCATTCCATGTCTATAAGTCCCATACCTACACTGGAGGGCAACTAACTCAGGCCTCTTGCCTAAGTTCCAACTATGTATTTAGCTGTGTGTTTTCAAGTCTTAGATGACTAGCAGGGAGCTCAGACTCAGCATATCCCAACAGGTTCTATTTTCTCTCCCTTCAAACCTGCACCTCTGCATGTGTTACTTACCTATGTGACTTGCTCATCACTATGTATTCTGTTACCTAAATGAGAAAGTTGAGAATTGCTCTTTCTTTATAGCTCAGATGTCAACCCTCTTCTAAGATCCTTCATGGAAAAATCCATGTCTTTGTACCTAGTTAGCTCTAGAATGAAATTCAATGCCTGGCAGTCCATAGGCACTTAAAAGTGAGTAAATAGATGATTAGGAATACTACATCACTTTGTGCACGATCACCTGATATCTTTGAGCCAGCCACATGCCAGGTTCTAATGGACAATGGAAGCAAGTTATGGCTTATCTTCTTACTAGTCACCAAATGTCTATTAAACTCACTCCAATGTATATTGGAATCCCATCAATGTTATAACTTGACCATTTTTTTTTGAGACAGGGTCTCGCTCTGTCGCCCAGGCTGGAGTGCAGTGGCGTGATCTCTGCTCACTGCAAGTTCCGCCTCCTGGGTTCACACCATTCTCCTGCCTCAGCCTCCTGAGTAGCTGGGACTACAGGCGCCCGCCACCACGCCCGGCTAATTTTTTGTATTTTTAGTAGAGACAGGGTTTCACTGTGTTAGCCAGGATGGTTTCGATCTCCTGACCTCGTGATCTGCCCGCCTTGGCCTCCCAAAGTGCTGGGGTTACAAAGTGCTGAGCCATGCACCCGGCCCCCATAACTTGACCTTTTAAACTTATGAATTTATCCTTAGCTTTCAGTTCTGCACTTCCTCCCTTGACTTGCTAACCAATCTTGATTTCCCCAGCTTAAATTTTATTAAACTCTCTAAAGACTTTAACATGGAATCCAAGCTCTTTCTGTTTTTGGCATCTTATGGAAATTCTTTCACACTAGCTCTGGCGCATGAGAACTTGGTTGGCACCCTGAACAGATTCATTCAAATCCTCTTTTAGGTTAGTGGTAGTTGGGCTTATATACATATTTTAATAACAATAATAGTTATTTATTGAATGTTTACGCTGAGCTGGGTTCTCAGTAAGCACTTTACATAAAGCATCTCATCCCATTCACTTCTCACATAACCCTATAAAATAGGGAATTATTATCCCCATTTTACCCATGAGGAAACTAAAGCTTAGGGAGGTTATATAACTTGTTCAGTCTTATAGCTAATAAGTAATAGAACATAGATTGGAATCAAATCAAAATCTTAAGCACCCTGCTTTAAAACAAAACAAAACTTGAAGTTTGACAGTTGTCAGTTTAGTAGACCACATCTGAGCATCAGATGTGTAATGTGAACATAGCTCAATGTTCACATCCTTTCAATGCTGTATAAGTTACTTGTATAATAGAGTTCACAAGCTGATTGCTCATCTGCTCTGCAGTGGTCATTAAAATAGACACATGGGCTAAAACTAAGAGCAAAAAGAATTTCAGTCCTACAAGCCCATATAGAATACAAAGTTTGCTCTTTCAGAGAAATAGTATTAGAAGAGACTTTCTGTAGCACATTAGAAGTGATTTAAGAAGCGTAGTCACCCTTGGGTACAGGATAGTGCTTCCCTTAATGTTTATCAAGAGAAATGTCATGGGCGGAGGCTTCTGTCCTAAGTGCAGCTGTGGAGCATACAAAATAATTTTCTTGCCATAAAAAGCACGGGTTTGTAATTGCAAATGTAATGGATTAACCAGATGCCACACATGTGGCTCTTAAGGAGTTCATTTAAAATAATAACCTATTTAAGAATAATCACTTAAAGAGCATCCTCTCTAAGCTGCTGCTGGAGGCAGGACACTTAAA
Source organism: Homo sapiens (assembly GCF_000001405.40). Taxonomy (NCBI): domain Eukaryota; kingdom Metazoa; phylum Chordata; class Mammalia; order Primates; family Hominidae; genus Homo; species Homo sapiens. The sequence goes on along the minus strand of NC_000005.10, from coordinate 86,841,005 downwards.
TTAGTTTAACAAGTGTTGTAAAAAGAAAATGTACAAACTGCTTGTTTTATCACTTTCTTTTACAGTTGGTTGTTTTTGCAAATGTATCAATGTTATTATGTTAATTTTGTTCTTTATCCTAATGTATTTAATAAGAGGAAATACTATTGTGTTTTAAAGAGACACTCATTTCTCCCTGGCCAACCTTGGTAGTGACTTTGCAGGGTGGTTTCTCTAAAGTTAGGGTCAGGATCTCAAAGGAGGTCAAGAGAATATTAGAAAGGGCCATCGAGAAGTGAGTTGAGAATCCCTAAGAAAAATATTTTCCTTTTTATGAACAACCATGAATTTGATGCCTTATTGTCATGTAACTTCACACTATTAATGATACTTTTCCTAGGCTCATCTGTTATCTTTCTCTCATTTTGTTAACAAACTAAAGAATATTAATGTTAGACAAAGAGTTGCTATGTGTGCATGTATATTACTGAAGAACTTAGAGAAACTTACAAATGAAAATACAACATATGAATGATTCTGATTCTGAGGATTTGAAAATTAACTTTTATGGACTTTTATTTACATTATATCTTATAAATAAAAGTTACATGCATAGATATAAACATAAGACTGTCTTCATGTAGCATGGTATAGGGCACATGCAGAGTGATACAGTAAAATGGCCCATAGGGCCTATCCAAAGAGATAGAAAAGTTTTATTTTATCATTAAAATATTAAACATAAGTTTAAGACCTAATAAATTAATTTTCAAGCATTTCTCTCAAATGAAAAAAATTAACGAAACATCCTAAAAGTGGCACCAGACTTTAGTTCAGTTCTTAGCCTGAGGTTTGTGAACTCTCCTCTGGTTCGCCATACAGTCTGTGAACTCTGATGGGAAAAATGTACAGCTTTTATTTTATTAATCTCTAATTGAAATTTATCATTACTTTAAATGGAAAGAAACACAGCAGTATTAGCAGTATTTGCAATTTTGTCACCAACAGAAATCACAGATGTTTTCATATCATATTAATATTATAGCAAATATATTGAAATGTTATGCTTATCACTACTTTGAAATTATAGCAGTTATTAAATGTATCACTTGATCTTACTTAATCATTAATAAAATCATATGTTACTGTTAGGATGAACTATATGAAATTGCCAATATTTGTATAAATTTTATCTAGGAAAACAAGTTTTGTATGGTTCAGCCAATATTATTACCATTTTTTATTTAAAATATTTTGATAACTGATTTCAATAGCTATTTTTGAATTGTATATGTTTTCTTTTATGCATAAAAATAATTTTTCTGAAAAGAGTTCCACAGGCTTCTCAAACTGCCAGTGAGATTCATGGCACAAAAAAATGTTTAAGAATGCCAGTGGTTACAAGTTTTGGCTCTTGATTCAGAGACCTTAATTTGACTTCCAGTTTTATCACTTAAAAGCTGTGGAACTTTGAGCAAATGATTTCATTTCTCTATGCCTCAGTTTCCTCAACTGAGGTAAAGTGTACACTATACAGTGACTTCCTCATAGAACTAAGGGAGATGCTATATGCTCAATGGAATAAGTACTCAATAAACATGTTATTACTCCTTCTGCCTCTTCTACTAATCATAGTCCCTGTTTTATTCTTATTGTAAAAATTTCAATAAAGGTGTTGCAAGTATATGTGTGTATTTAAATGACTTCATATGCCATGGAATACTATGCAGCCATAAAAAAGAATGAAATTATGTCCTCTGCAGCAACATGGCTGGAGCTGGAGGCCATATTCCTAAGCAAATTAATGTAGAACTGAAAACCAAATACTACGTGTTCTCACTTATAAGTGGTAGAGCTAGGCATTGAGTACACATGGACATAAATATAAGAACAACAGTCACTGTGGACCACGAGAGGATGGAGGGGTGGGTGAGTTAAAAAACTACCTATTGGGCATTATGCTCACTACCAGGGTGACAGGATATGTATTTCAAAACTCAGCATTATACACTATTCCCATGTAACAAATCTGCACATGCACCGCCTGTATCTAAAACACAAGTTGTAAAAAAGTATAACCATATAAAAAAACTATAACTTCATGTGAATTTTTGCTTCATATTAAAAAATGACTTCATAGTTATGTGTTGAATTTTGTCCGCCCAAAAGATACGCTGAAATTCTAACCCCCAGTTGCTCAGGGTGTGACTTTACTGAACACAAGGGGTTATCAAATTAAAGTGAGGTCATTTGGGTGGGCCCTAATCCAGTATAACTGATAGCCTTACAAAAAGGGGCAATGTCAGGCCCAGTGGCTCATGCCTGTAATTCCAACACTTTGGGAAACCAAAGCAGGAGAACTGTTTGAGCCCAGGGGTTTCAGACTAGCCTGGGCAACACAGTGAGACCCCCATCTCTAAAAAAATAAAAAAAATTAGCCAGGTGTGGTGGCACATGCCTATGGTCCCAGCTATTTGGGAGGCTGAGGTGGGAGGATCACTTGAGCCCAAGAGGTTGAGGGTACAGTGAGCCATGATTCCACCACTGCACTCCAGCTTGGGTGACAGAATGAGACCTTGTCTAAAAAAGGGGTTGGGGGAGGGAAATGGTATATATGGACACATAGAAAGACATGCACAGAAGGGGATTATATAAAAACACACATGACTGTGAAGCCAGAGGTTTGGAGTGATGCGCCTATAAACCAAAGAATGCTTTAATGATTGCTGGCAAGCCACCAGAAGCTCAAGAGAGCTGAGGAAGGATTCTTTTACAGGTTTCAGAGAGAGCATGGCTCTGGTGACACCTTGATTTCAGACTTCAGAACTGATACCATAAATTTCTGTTGTTCTAAGTCACTCAGATTTTGGTACTTTGTTACGGTAGCCCTGGCAAACTAGTAACATTACTTTAAATTATTTTAAATTTCTCTACCTTTTTGAATGTCTTATACACCTTTTTGAACACAATGCGGTTTCTATTATAAGTATACACACACACACATTTTCTTTATTTGTATATAAATCTCGAAGTCTCATTTTTTTTTAACTTCCTAAAAGGTTGATTTTAATAATCATTATAAAAAGGAAATATTTAATGCGTATGGGAACAGAATTATCCTGATGAGTAACCATTACAAAAGTCAACATATACCCATGATATTTTATTACTCATTGGTTAGAGTAATACACTAAAACAAATTTGTCATGAAACTCTGCACATTTAAAATGAGGTCTATGGTCACTGTCTGAATGGAATGATGTCATTGAAAAGACTTGCTTAGAAAAACAGACTGCAGAATCAATTTCTAGTATTCCACACAGTTCTATAAGAGTAGCATTGTGATAAAATTGGTGTTCTGCCTTATATAGTGTCATATTCTCTTCACTATTCTAAAGGTCAGAAGGGGTTGCAAAGAATGGCTTTTTACCTGGGGCGCTCCTTAAACAAAAGCACTAAAACCTTAAAAAAAAAAAAAAAAAAAAAAAAAGGCCTAAAAAGGATTTTTCAATGCAAGCTTTTAATAAAACAACAATATGCCCTTACTTATATGATTTGGATCTATCTCTAAAAAATAAACTTTATAGGCTGCTAAAATATGGACATAATTACTGAGTTAAAACACACAGAATAAATTTCTGATGCCTGATTATCTTATCTACAGGTAGAAAAAGCCTGTACTTCTTGTAGTAGGAGGTGAGTGTCCTTGAATTTAGTGAGACAAAAGTCTGCTATATAAAATTTCATTTCTTTAATATGGTACTTTTTTACAGTTAGAAAAAATGTTTTTTTTTCTTTCTTTTGCTTGGGACATAATGCTTTCCATTTGAGCTTATTTTGATAATGTTTGAACATAAGAAATACTTAGTACATGAAATATCACATAATAGCATTTATATTCACATTTTTTACTCAATTTTCAGTGAAAATAAAAATAAAATTCTTTCCAACTCTAGTATTCCACAGACTATGTGCTCCGTCCTTGTTGAGAACTCATAAAGAAATCAAGAAAAAGTCACAAAATGGGAAAAAACATGATAATTTCAATCTTCAGTAGCTTAAGAAATATTTTAAAAATCTTACAAGAGTGATAACTTCAAACTCTTTACTACCTTAAAAATTATGAAGGACTCCTGTCCTCATAAAGGATTAACTTGTAGGAGAATTGCCCTTGTGCTCTAAGCAAATATAAACACAGAAAAAATATATAAAATAATGGTTTTGAAACATTCTTAGACAACATAGGTGGGTGATTCCTAAAAGAAGGGAAAGTCGAGCCCTATGACTTCCCAAGTCACTGAGTGATGGCAGCTTTTGGGGCATAAGGCAGGAAGAGGGAACCCCAACAGAGCCTGGAGGACTTGCTGAGTTGAACAGTCAGAATTTTAAAGAAGAAGGAGGTATAGGGGTCTAGAATGTATGTAGCTGAATATGGAGAGGAGAGAGCTGTGAAGAGAGGAAGCTCTGGAGCTCTGTAGAGAAGGTTCTTTCCAGTCTTGGGTGGAGATTGACACTACACATAGGCAGGGTGGAACTCCTCGCGGCAGAGGAAAGAACCACCAGAAAGCAAGAGATCAAACATCCCCCAAAATCACACAAGGCAGAGGATAGTCTGTGTTTCCAACTGCTGGAGGGGAAAGAATCTCAAAATACAAGGGACATTTAGTAGAGTTTTCAGAAGACTATTACTTGTCTTAGTGGTGCAAAAATATCCCTAGAGTAAAGGCTGCTCTGAATCTTGATTCTCAAAGCTAAAAAGAAAGCTTTCAAAGGATCAAAATGACTCCAAATAACTCAATGTGTGCTGGATCAAAATCCAACACTCCCTAAAGGAATACAATAGAATTCCACACTCAAAAATGTAAAATTCACATCTAGCATCCAGTTAAAAATTCCCAGGGTTACAAAGAAGTGGAAAAATAGTACTCAACCAGGAGGGAAAAAAAATCAGTATCGACCAACAAATAAATGACAGAGATTATAAAATTATAAGACAAATTGCTTTAAACAGTGATTATACATATCATAATACTAATATCATTCATAATGAGGACTACCCAAGTCACTCTATTTCAAATACTCCTTTCTCTACCCCATTCCCCTGCCCAATACTCCTGTTCTGCTTTCGGGTCCATTTTGCTCACAGCTTATCACTTTCCATCAGTATATGTAAAGGTATTTTTAAATTTTTGTAAGTTATTTAAAATTAATGAAATCTATTTATTTAATTTACTATCTATTATCTCCCCCCTCCTGCCCACTAGAATATAAGCTCTGTGGGAGCTGAAATCCTCATCTGTCTTGTTCACTGGTCTAATCCCACAGCCAAGAAAAAAGCTTGGCATAAAGTAGGAGCACAATAAATTGGTTAAATGAAAGAAAAAGCTATTGATCATTTTTTATATTTATAAAATTGTGCTAGATTTCTAGAAGCTACAAAAGAGTTAGAAAGTATCATGATTGACCTCAGATTCCTTGATATCAACATAAAAATGCTTAGTTACAAAAGCACACAGTTACATAATTCAAACTTTTCTTTCTTTGGAAATGAAAGTTGAAAATCAGTTTATGCAGATATTTCCTTCTTTTTCCCTGTCAGCTTAACATCACTTGAATTGCCTCCGTAGTTAAGATTTGGAGAAACAATGTTGATTTCACTACAAAAATATTATAGAAATACTAATGCAATGTAAGTTGATCTCAATGAGAACTGATTTTTAAAATATTTCCTCTGTTTATACTCTATTTCTTAAAAGAATTTAGGCAAACTTGCAATAAAAACATATATACAATACTATAAAGACTAGTAAAGGAGCTACATGATATCAGTTAGAAGAAAGGAAGTGGTAACTATGGCAAAGCAGTGGATGAGGATATTTTGAGTATAAAATTTGGTTCTGAGCTTTTAAGCTATGGCACAAAGGAAGCATAAATATATTATGTAGTTATTCTTATTAAAAACATGAAACAATCTGGGAGTCTTATTAAAAACATGAAACAATCTGGCATACGCCTTTAGTTCCAGCTACTTGAGAGGGCGAGGCAGGAGGATTTCTTGAGCCCAGGAATTTGAGGCTGTAATGTGCTATGGTTGTACCTGTCAATAGCCATTGTAGTCTACCCTGAGCAACATAGCAAGACACTTCTCTTGAGAAAAAAAGAAAAACAAAACAACAATAGTAACAACAAAACATGTATAATACTGCCCGTAGAGGCAAACATTAAATTCCTTAAATTAGCTTTGAAGTTCAAGTAAAATTTGCCACTCAAATCTTTGTGGAGTGCTGTCATTTAAGGGATATTATCTACAAGCCTAATTTTATAGAAGGTGTATTTGTCTTTTACTTTTTGAAACAGGATCTGGCTTTATCACTCAGGCTGGAGTGCAGTGTTGTAATCACGGCTCACCACACCCCAACATCTTTGACTCAAGAGGTTGAGGTAGGATCCTCCTGCCTCAGCCTCCCAAGTACATGGGACTATAGGTGTATACCATCATGCCTGGCTAATTTTATTATTATTATTTTTTTTATAGACCCAGGTTCTTACTATGTTGTCCAGGCTTGTTGAACTCCTAGGTTCAAGCAATCCTCTTGCCTTGGCTTCCCAAAGTGTTTGGATTACAGGTGTAAGCCATTTCACCTGGCCAAATAGTATTTATATATCTATTTTTTCAAACAAAGTATAGTGGAAATTGAGGCTTAACATTAAATAGTAACTCAATGAAAGCATTCCTATATGTAGCTATAGTAAGTTGTTGATGAAATAAATTGATGCAAGGATATGGTTACCTAAAGTATCAAAGTATTTTTCTCAAAAAGTATTAGTATTGATGATATTTTGACAGTATCCAGGTAACAGTGAATTCAAAATTGAGCTCTGTAAAGAATGAAGAGTTTCTTCAGCAATAATCACAATGACACTGATAAGTTTCATGCATGAAAGTAAATTAGCAAAGTCATCAATTTGTTCTAAAAGTTTAAAAGACTGATTTGCATTTTAACTTTGAAGATAGGCCAATCATCTTCTACATGTGAAATACAGGTGGGCAAGAAAGTAAGGCCAACTTTTTCTAAATAGAACTTTTAATTTGTTTAAATGGTTAGGCACAATAGACGCTTAGGGAGTATGCTCCATAAGACTTCAATAGATAGTTTTGCTTAGGCAAATTTTATGGCCGGTATTATCATTCAATTTTCTGTATCATAAGATAATCTTGGTAAGATTTCTACAGAAAGTTAGATTTTGAGTAACACTGCATCCTGATGAAACAGCCAGAAAGAAAACCTTGCTAATGCTTACACTCAAGTCACTCAATTCAATGACTTTCAATAGAACTATATTTTTGATGTAAGCTGAACAACTGTACGTCACAAGAATCCTTTTGAAGCCCAGAATTTGAATATTTATTCAATGAATGAAGATGTATCTTGACAAAAAGTAAATCACTTTGAGTTAAGCCAGTATAAGATACCTTAAATCTTCTTAGAAAAGTGATCATATTAAAGAAAATATTTTAATAAAATAATTATTAGTAATCTATACAATTAAAAAGTAATCTGACAGAAATAATCAGAGCTATATACTTAATCAGTGAAAAACTAAAAGGCTTGTAATAAAGGGCATATTCTAAATAATATCTCATCTACTTATGCTGCATCCCCTAATATGGCCCTCTCAGATGGCTTAGTAGATAGGAAGAGGTGATGCATATTGAAAATCATATATATTTTTGTTAATGAGTCTTCTTAATTTAACGGACTAGGGAAAGATAGAAACACTTTCAGCAAATTTCTTGAGTCCCCATGAAGCTTGTTATTTTTCTCAATGGGAAAGAACTTTCAGTCTGCCTATCCACTGTTTTGAGAAGCAATGATTTAAGGTCATTAAACTTCCATAGCTGAACAAAAATTCCATCATATAATTTTCAGTTAATCATGGGAAATTTAAAATGTACATTTACTGAACCCCCTTTCTAAAACCTCATAAAAAGTGACAGTAAATTTTTTTAATAATAAAAGAAAAACAGTAGCAGATGAAAGAAGTCAACAAATTTAAAAATGAAGAGCAAGTGAAGGAAGAGTAACTGACTTTGCCAAGCAAATGAAGTGCCTGCAATGGTTGGAGGCACAAGTTACCATGGGAGAAAGAGATGAGTTGGTCTGATATAAACACAAGCATTTGTTTGAAAGCATATAGAGGCACAGTTTGTTTTATTGCATTTCACAGATATCGTGTTTGTTTTTTTTTTTAAATAAATTGAAGTTTGCAACCCTGCATCAAGCAAGATGATTGGCATCATTTTTGCAACAGCATGTGCTAAGTTTGGGTCTCTGTGTCACATTTTCATAATCCTCTTAATATTTTTAACTTTTTCATTATTTTCATATTTGTTATGGTGATCTGTGAGCAGTGATCTTTCATGTTACTATTGTAATTGTTTTGGGGTACCACAAACTGTGCCCATATAAAATGGCAATCTTAATGGATAAATGTATGTGTTTTGACTGCTTCATCAACCAGCTCTTCTCTTCTCTCTCACTTACTTTTCAGGCCTATTTTCTGAGACAAAACAATATTAAAATTAGGCCATTAAAATTAACCATACAATGGCCTCTAGATGTTCAAGTAAAAGAATAGTTGTATAACTCTTACTTTAAATCAAAAGGTAGAAATGAGAAAGCTTAGTGAGGAAGGCATATCAAAAGTCAAGATAGCTAAAACCTAGGCCTACTGTACCAAACAGCCAAGTTGTGAAAGCAAAGGAAAAGTTCTTGAAGGAAATTAAAAGTGCTGTTCAGTGAACACATGAATGATAGGAAAGCAAAACAGCCTTATTGCTGATATTGAGCAGACTGGATAGAAGATAAAATCAGTCTCAATGTTTCTTTAAGCCAAAGCCTAATCCAGAGCAAGGCCCTAACTCTCCAATTCTATGAAGGCTAGCAGAGGTTGGTTCATGAGACTTAAGGAAATAAGTTGTCTTCATAACATAGAAGTATAAGGTGAAGCAGAAAATGCTGATATAGAAACTATGCCAAGTTTTCCAGAAGATCTTGCTGAGATCATTGATGATGGTGGCTGCATCAAACAGCAGATTTTCAATGTAGATAAAACAGGCTTATATTGAAATAAGATACTATCTAGGACTTTCATAGCTAGAGAGAAGTCAATGCCTGGCTCCAAAGCTTCAAAGGACAGGCTGATTCTCTTGTCAGGGGGTTAGTGCAGCTGGTGACTAGGCCAGTGCTCATTTACCATTCTGAAAATCCTAAGGCCCTCAAGAATTACGCTAAATCTACTCTTCCTGCACTCTGCAAATGGAACAACAAAGCCTGGATGACAGACTTTCTGTGTACAGCATAGTTTACTGAATATTTTAACCCTTCTGTTGAGACCTACTGCTCAGAAAAAAAGATTCCTTTTAAAATGTTACTGCTCATTGACAATGCATCTGGTCACTCAAGGGCTCTGATGCAGATTATAAAGAGATTAGCATTTTCATGCCTGCTAACAAACACAGCATCCATTTTACAATCCATGGATCAAGGAGAAATTTCAACTTTCAAGTCTTATTATTTACAAAATACATTTTATAAGGCTGTAGCTGTCAGAGTCAGTGATTCCTCTGATGGATCTGGACAACATCAATTGAAAGTCTTCTGGGAAGAATTCAGATTTCTAGATGCCATTAACAACATTCATGATTCATAGGAGAAGATCAACATATTAACATTAACAGGACTTTGGAGGAAGTTGATTCCAACCCTCAAGGGTGTGACTTTGAGGGGTTCAAGAGTTCAGTGGAGGCAGTCACTGAGATATGGCAGAAAGAGCAGGAGAACTAGAATTAGTTCTTTCTAAAGAACTTTATAAAGATGTGACTTTATAAAGATGTGACTGAATTGCTGCTATCTTAGGATAAAACTTGAATGGATGAGGAGTTGTTTCTTATGGATGAGCAAAGAAAGTGGTTTCTTGAGAGGGGATCTACCTGTGGTAAAGATGCTGTGAACATTGTTGAAATGACAACAAATGACATGTAATAGAACATCAACTTAGTTGATAAAGCAGTGGCAGGGTTGGAGAGGTTTTAGTCAAACTGTTTTTTAACTCAAATTTTGAAAAAAGTTCTATTGTGGGTCAAATGCTATCAAACAGCATCACATGTTATGGAAAAATCTTTTGTGAAAGGAAGAGTCAATGAACGTGGCAAACTTTATTGTGATTTTAAGAAATTGCCACAGCTCCCCCAACCTTCGACAACCACCAGCCTGAGAAGCCAACAGCCATCAACATGGAGGAAATATTCTCATCAGCAAGAATATTATGACTTGCTGAAGGTTCAGATGATTGTTTGTATTTTATAGCAAGACAGTATTTTAAAATTAAAGTATATACATTATTTTTTAGACATACTGCTATTGCACACTTAACATACTACAGTATGCTGTGAAGATAACTTTTTTTTTTTGAGATAGGGTCTTGCTGTATTGCTCAGACTAGCATGCAATGGTGTAATCAGGGCTCACTACAGCCTCGACCTCCCAGCCTCAAGCAATCCTCCCACCTCAGCCTCCAGAGTAGCTGGGACCAGAGGCATGTACCACCATGCCTGGCTAATTATTTATTTTTATTTTTATTTCGTAGAAAGGGTCTCACTATGTTGGCCAAGCTAAAAAATAACTTTTAGATGCACTAGAAAACCAAACAATTCTTATGACTCACTTTGTTGTAGTAGTCGCTTCACTGCAGTTGCCTGGAACTGAACCTGCATTATCTCCATAGTATGCCTGTATGTAGAAAACTCTTAGACAGCCCCTTCTCCCCGATTAGGTCTGTTTACATACATTGAACAACTAAGCAATTTCTTTTCTCCATTCACAGAAGATGGAGGAAATAAAAGAGAGAGAGATCCTGAATTCAGGGACAACAACAGAAGATATGATGAAGCACAAGACTTTAAATTGGGAAATTATTTGAAAACAGCATCCTAAACTTCCTTTTCACATTTACTTGCTGAATAATGATAGCCAGGCTATCCACTAACTACCACCAAACCCCAACCACTACTGCCAAAACAGGAAATAAGATTCTTGATATTTGTCAATCCTCTTAAAGAAATGCTTTCTCTGCCTCACTTTTAATAACTCATCAGACATTTGAGGAAAGTCATCATCATGAAAGACAGACTGATATAGCAAATTAAAATGAAATCAAAAGGAAAAAATACCAACAAAATCTTAAAAGAGATAAAGGAAATATTTATTCAACAAAAATAACATATTTCAAATAGAAATACTCTAAGACTAAGCAAAAACTCTTAGACACTAAAAAGAAACAAAATACAAAATATACAAAATAAAATAAAAATCAAGTTGATAAACTTTCCAGGCTGATTAGGAAAAAATAGAAATGACACAAATTATTGATATTAGGAATGAGATAATTGACATCATCAAATATTCTAGACATAACAAAAGAGTACCAAGAGACATGGTGAAATATGACAGGTTCTCACTCATATTTGGGAGCTAAAAGTTGATCTTATGGAGGTAGAGAGTACAATAATAGATACCAGAGGCTGGGAATAGGGAATAGTGTGTTGGGGGGTGAGGAGAGGTTGGTTCATGGGTACAAACATACAGTTAGATAGAATGAATACGTTTTCTAATGTTTGATAGCAGAATAGGGTGACCAAAGTTAACAATAATGCATTGTATATTTCAAAATAGCTGGTAAACAGGACTTAAAATGTTTTCAACACATAAAGTGATAAATATTTGAGGTGATGGATATCTTAAACATCCTGATTTGATCATTACACATTTTATGCATGTAACAGAATATCGCAGGTACTCTCCATAAATAGGTACAAATATTATGTGTCAATAAATTTTTTTAAAAAGGGACCATGATAAACAACTTTATGCCAATAACTTTTAAAATTTAATGAATGTAGATATTCTTTAAAGAAACAAACTTTTAAAGCTCAGCTTAAGGAAGAACAGAACTAGAAGAGCTCTGTAATATCAACTAATTAAATTTGTAGTTAAAAATATTCTCATAAAGAAACTTTAGGTCTAGATGGCTTCACAGGTAAATTCTAGCTAACATTTAAAGGAGGAAGTAATGCCAATTATACACAAACGCTTTCCAAAAACTGAAGGCAAAGGCATTCTTTCCAATTTCTTCTAAAAGGCTGGGATTTCTGTGATAGCAAACCAGACCAAAACATATTAAAAGAAAATTACAGGTCCATCTCTCTCAGATACATAGATATAAACAAAATGTTAGCAATTCAGTCCATCAATACATACAAATAATAATATATCATGACCAAGTAAATAGACTAGGAATGTAAAGTTTTCAATTTGAAAATCAGTCAACGTAATTTGCCATATTAACAGACCACAAAGGGAAAGGAAAACCATGTGATTATCTCAATATATGATGATACTATACTTAACAAAATCCAATATCTCAACTGATAAAAACTCTCAGTAAACTATCAAAAGAAGGGGATCCATTGAACCTGAAAAAAAAGCCTTTAACAAAAAACTACAATTACCAGCATACTTAATCGTGAAAAGACTCAATATTCTCCCCTTAATATCAAGTACAGGGCAAGGATGGCTTCTGTCACTACTTCTATTCAGGATTGTATCAATGGTTCTAGCCAGTGCAATAAGACAAGGTTAAAAAAAAGTTACTCATTTTGGAATAAAAGAGGTATAGCTGTCTTTATTCAGATAACGTGATCATACATGGTAAATTCCTATGGAATCTACAACTATGAAACTAGAACTAATAAGTTAGAAAAGTTGAAGAAGACAAGATCAGTATACAAAATAAATTCTATTTTTAGCAATGAGCAATCAGAAATTTAAATGCAAAATGCAGCAGTGTCAAAATTATTACTTAGTGATAAGTCTGCATAAGTTCTATAGTTTCCTTAAAAACTATAAAACTCTGCCAAAAGAATTAAAGAAGACATAGAGAGAAATACCATGTTTATGGGTTAGAAGAATCCAATATTGTAATTCTCCCCAATCTGATTCATAGATTTCATGTAATTTCTGTCAGAATCCCAGAAAATGTTCTGCAGAAATTTACAAGCTGATTCTGAAATTCATATGAAAATGCAAAGGACATAGAATAACCAAAATAATGTTGCATAAGAACAACAAAGTTGGAGGACTTAAAGTACCTGATTTCAGGAGTTATTATAGAACTACAATTAAGACATTGCAGTACTGGCAGAACATATACAATACAGTACATCAGTGGAATAGAATAAAGAGTTCAGAAATAAATCCACATGTACATAGTCAAATGATTTTCAACAAAAGCGCAAAGCCAATCAGTTTTAAAAAGTCTTTTCAAAGTTGTTGACATGTTGAAAATTTGGATATTCATATGTAAAAAAATAAACTTGGATTCATACTTTGTACCATAAACAAAAGTTAGCCCTAATGAATCATAGACCTAAATGTAAAAGCTGAAAACTATAAGACTTCTAAAAGAAAACAAAAGAGGAGAAAATATTTGTGATGTTGGATCAGACAAATCACCACAAGCATAGTCCATAAAATTAAAAAAAATTGGAATTCAACAAAATTGAAAACTTCTGCTCTTTGAAAGACACTATTGAAATAGCAAAAGTACAAGCCACAGATTGAGAGAAAATATTTGCAAGTCATATATATGTTAAAGGATTTGAATCCATAATCTATAAGGAAATCTCAAAACTAATTAATAAGAAAACAAACAACTTTTAAAAAGTGGCAAAAAATTTGCAGACTTTTCTAAAGAAGATATATGGATGGCAAATAAGCACTTAAAAAGGTGCTCAATATTAGCCATTAGAGAAATACAAATTAAAACTTCAATGAGATACCACTACAAACCTGTTAGAAATGCTAAAATTAAGAAGACTGACCATACCAAGTGTTGGTGAGGATATGGAGCAACTGGAACTCATTTATACTGCTGATGGAGATGTAAAATGATGCAATACCTTTAGAAAACAGTTTCAGTTGCTTGAAAAGTCAAATATACACCTACAATATGACCTAGGCATTCCTCTCCTATTTCAGATAGCACGGGCTTCACATGTTTGCCTCACGTACATCGTTTCTCAGGAAAGTACCAGGGTATGCTCTTCAGTATATTTAGAACATAAACCAAGAAATACAAAGAAAATGGTTCAGGACACAGGGGTCACACCTCCGAAAGCGGTTTTATAGTAAAAGGAGTCTCAAGGAAAGCATTAGATCTGCAAAGAGCAACCAGTCAAGAATGGAATAGACATGTAGTTTCCAGAAGAAAAATTGCAACTGATCAGTTATATGATAGGTTTAGTTGTGTAAAAATGTTTATTAACAGACAGTTGAAGGGTACTGTAAGAAGGGAGGAAATGAAATGAATGAAAAAATGAGGCACTTATTACAGAAGAAAATAAAAATTGATCAGTAACAGGAAAAATCAAAATAAACTACTTGCCTTAGGATGAACAATATTTTTGTAATCATAATAAGAACACTAAATAATAATTTAAGCAAAGATTATTATATAATTTAACCAAAAATAATTATATAATTTATAGGGAATATTGGGTAAGATAGAAAATGTATAAGCAAGCTGAATAATTTGCTATAATAAATATTTGCTGCAAACTGACTTAGCCAACTTAGTTCTACATAAACCCTTAGATTCTTTTTAGTTAATATGAAAGCCTCCAAAGGAGGTTGAATTCAGTGGTGTTTAGCTACTATTCAATATCCTCAAACAAATCTTTAATGAAGAAGGCAAGTCAGAAAAAATTGTCACATAAAATTTCTCCTATTACATAAACATTCATCAGCGAGCAGGCACACAAACAATCCTACGATTCAAGAGTTCTCATTCTCATTCTTTTAGATGTTCTAACTAAAATCCACATGAAAATGTAATCAGAGACAAACAAGAAATATTTTTTGAGGCAGGATTTAGTTAATTTTAAAAACAGGCAATTGCCTATCAGAATCCCTCCAAATTAGTCTGTTCACGGGACCCTCTAGGGTTTAAGCCTATGATTAACTCTAAGTCTTTAAACTACAGGCTTCTTTAGATTATACTCATGTTTAATGAAAAAATAGAGAAATCTCTAAAATATTTCAGCCAGTCCACGTATCTTGAATACATCTAATTTACCAATGATCAGCTCATGCAAATTTCAATTAAAAGCCATTAATTCACCTATGGAAAGCCATTTCTTGTATTCATTATGCTAATTATCAAATCCTGTGATGTAAGAAATAAACAAGACAGAAGGATTTGTAGTGATAGCCTCTGGAGAGTGGGTTTCCTGATTAGCTGACTGTGTCTAAGGTGTGATTAGAATAACTGATCACACACAGGTTATAATTAACCCAACACACACATATCTCATTCTATGCTGAAATGAAGTGCTATAGATAGCACAGTAACAGCTAATAGATAAATGTCTAAAATCAATAAAAGAACTAGAATACAAGCATATACTTTGGAAAGTTAGGTGAAAATACCAAAAGACAGCCAAAAGAGTTGAAAGTGGTTACCTCTTGAGATTGTGGGATGGGGTGATGTGTGATGGAGTGAGGGCAAGGAACTCCACTCATTTTCAGTTTTTTCATACACTTTAAAATAATTTAAAAGTCATACACATGCATCCCTTTGCTAAGCATGAAATTAATTGAATGAGATAAAAGGTTACAAATAAAAGCCAGAATAGGAATATTATCTCGGGAAATTGCAAGGAGCTTCTGCTCCCATAACTGGGAGGAAGGGATAAAAGCTTTTGGTCTCCCTTGTTTCAGAAAAACATTTCAGTTGTTCCTGGGATCCACTGATGTATGCAGGCTCTTTGCTTTTCTCTTTTGAATAAAAGATAAAAGACAAATAAGATAATAATGAAATTAAAATTGCACATTAGACGGAATATAGATGAAGTACGGAAATAAATATGCTTCACTTCAAATCAACAAAATTCCACAAAGGGTTCAGCACTTTGATTTGAAGTGAAACGAATAAAAGTAGTTAGAAAATTCCCTGTATTATAAATGACAGGGTTGAGTGGGGATCTTTATGAGCAGGGCTGAATGGTCAGGATTCAGTTCAGTTCAGGGCACCACCACTACAGAACACCCATTCTGTCAGGCATTGTGCCAGCTGCTGAGAGAGTGCACAGTGAGGAATAAGAAGCTGACTGTTCTCAAGGAGTTCATGCCTGGTGGGGAAAGACAAACAACACAGGTCAGTCTGCTGATGGATATTCTCCAAAGGTGGCATACCATTGTAGGTCTTGAAATATGGCTGTTTGCACCCCGGCCTTCTTACAAGAAGTTTCCTCTGCCAGGAACAAGTGAACTTAATTTTGGAAGAGATAACTTCCACTTACCAAAGCTCTTCAAGATTTTACTCAAATTTTACCCATGCTGTGAAGCTTTCCTTCACCAACGTAGATCCCCTTCTCTCCCTCAGGCCCTATAATGCACCTTTAATCACTACACTTACCCAGTTAAGCTGTCATTATCACCTTACTAGACTATCACCCCTAAACAGAATGTTTTTTAAGCAATCAGGATGTTTTTTAAAAGTAAGTATTGGTATTACTTATTCTTAAATAACATAATGCTAGGTACATAGGTGTTCAGTTAACATTTGCTGACTAATTAGTGGGAAATTTGGAGGGATGCTGCTGATGATATATTTGATGGGTAAACACCTAAGTTGAAATTTGCAGTATAAATATGAAGTCATTTACAGGCAGGTAGGTTAAGTATAAAGTGCATTGTAGAGAAAACAAAGAGTTCAAAGATTGGATGACTGAAACACCATGGGGTATTCAGAAGATTGCCTATGATTCAAAATCACTGGGCAATAATTAGAAATAAACTTTTTTCATGTGTCTTTTGGCTGCATAAATGTCTTCTTTTGAGAAGTGTCTGTTCATATTCTTCGCCCACTTTTTGATGGGGTTGTTTGTTTTTTTCTTGTAAATTTGTTTGAGTTCATTGGAGATTCTGGATATTAGCCCTTTGTCAGATGAGTAGATTGCAAAAATTTTCTCCCATTCTGTAGGTTGCCTGTTCACTCTGATGGTAGTTTCTTTTGCTGTGCAGAAGCTCTTTAGTTTAATTAGATCCCATTTGTCAATTTTGGCTTTTGTTGCCATTGCTTTTGGTGTTTTAGACATGAAGTCCTTGCCCATTCCTATGTCCTGAATGGTATTGCCTAGGTTTTCTTCTAGGGTTTTTATGGTTTTAGGTCTAACATTTAAGTTGTTAATCCATCTTGAATTAATTTTTGTTCATCATCACTGGCCATCAGAGAAATGCAAATCAAAACCACAATGACATATCATCTCACACCAGTTAGAATGGCGATCATTAAAAAGTCAGGAAACAACAGGTGCTGGAGAGGATGTGGAGAAATAGGAACACTTTTACACTGTTGGTGGGACTGTAAACTAGTTCAACCATTGTGGAAGTCAGTGTGGCAATTCCTCAGGGATCTAGAACTAGAAATACCATTTGACCCAGCCATCCCATTACTGGGTATATACCCAAAGGATTACAAATCATGCTGCTATAAAGACACATGCACACGTATGTTTATTGCAGCACTATTCACATTAGCAAAGACTTGGAACCAACCCAAATGTCCAACAATGATAGTCTAGATCAAGAAAATTTGGCACATATACACCATGGATTACTATGCAGCCATAAAAATTGATGAGTTCATGTCCTTTGTAGGGACATGGATGAAGCTGGAAACCATCATTCTCAGCAAACTATCGCAAAGACAAAAAACCAAACACCGCATGTTCTCACTCATAGGTGGGAATTGAACAATGAGAACACATGGACACAGGAAGGGGAACATCACACACCAGGGCCTGTTGTGGGGTGGGGGGAGGGGGGAGGGATAGCATTAGGAGATATACGTAACGTTAAATGACGAGTTAATGGGTGCAGCACACCAACATGGCACATGTATACATATGTAACAAACCTGCACATTGTGCACATGTACCGTAAAACTTAAATAATAAAAAAAAACAAACCCCCATCACACAAGTTTACCTATGTAACAAACCTGCACATGTGCTCCTGAAGTTTAGATAAAAGTTAAAAAAAATGAAGTAAACAACAATAAAATCGTATCTTTTAAAACTAAAAAAAAAAAAAAGAAAAAAAAGAAATAAACTTTAAACAAGTCAGGATCAGATCACAAAAAAACTTCTGCTTCATTCTATGGGTTGGATTTTATAGGTCATGGGGAATTATTTGGGTTTAAGCAGTACTTATTAAGAAGTAATAAGATGTGTACTTTTATTCAAAGGCAGAATTTATTTTTTTCCAAATGATATAAATAGTACGCATTCATTGTGTAAAATTTAAAACATAGAAAAATTATAAAAACAAAAGGTATAGAAAGTAAAAAGTTTTAAAGTGTCCTAAAATCCCAACAGCTTGAGATACCACCATTAATTTGATGACTATCTTTTAGTGCATCACATTATATACACTCATAGATGTGAAATGTGCACATACTACATTGTACATAAACTGAATCATATATTCTATTTCTATTATGTAAACACTTATTTTCTCTTCCTACTTACTCATCCATTTCTTTTTCTAAGTCCCATATAAATAATATTAACATGTGGTTACACATCAATAATCATGTATATGTGATATTTTTGCCATTATTTGAGAAAAATCAGTCATATACTTCTTTCTTCATTTAGCTTTTCCCACTGAGCAACATATTGTAAAAATTCCTCCAGTTCAACTAGTATAAAGACAACTCAGCCTTTTTAATGGCTGTATATCTTATAGTATAAATGTACTACAAATTATTCAACCATTTCTCTATTGATGGGAATTTAATGTGTTTTTAGTTTTTGAAACTAGTAACTATGGCGTAGCAAACTTCCTTGTAAATATATCTTTATTCATCAGTGGTAATTCATAGACAAGATTCTTAAGAGAGGGAATTATGTGTTAAATTGTAAGTTCACTTTTAATTTGAATAGATATCGCTAAATTTCTTTTTAGAAATGGTTGCAGCAATTCGTATTGTAGTAGAAATGTATGACAGTACCTTTTCCTCTTATGATTGTAGCCTATAGGTATCATTCTTTTCACTTTTTGTGAATCTTATAAGGGATAAATGGATCCTAACATTCCTTTAATTTGCTTTTTTTCCCCTCACTGCTACTAGAATTGGGCATCATTTTGTATATATATGCATTGGTTATTTGGATTACTCATCTGTCAGTTTCCTATTAATATTATTTGCCTATTATCCTATAGAGTTTTTAATTAATCTGTAAAAGCTCTTTCTAAAGCATAGATATTAATA
Organism: Homo sapiens; assembly: GCF_000001405.40. NCBI lineage: Eukaryota > Metazoa > Chordata > Mammalia > Primates > Hominidae > Homo > Homo sapiens. Next base: position 86,821,628 of record NC_000005.10, on the reverse strand, counting down.
TCTTTTGCATTTCAGAATAATTTTCATGACAATTAGAAGATAGACAGAGACTGAACATCACTGGAGGCAAATAAATTGCTTAGAAGACTTTGAAAAAAAAGTCCAAATGAGAGATGAAGAGCACCCAAACCAAGAAACTGGCAGTGCTCATGGAGAGCAAGAGGATGTGATACAGAGATCCACATTAGGTGTCTCCTCATCAGAGATTACTAATCTTATAGTCCTTAATCATCTCTCAAACTTCAGCTTAAATCTCAGTTTCCAAAGAAGGTGCATGATACCACTGTGAACACAAAACCATGACTTCAATTGAGAACAGGAGAAAAATCCCCCTTCCATTCCAAGACTTCATGTGTGAATAAGACAAAGACTTTGTACTCTTTGCTGATTTTTTGACAATAGTTATACACAACTGTGACTCTTGCCACTAAAAGATGCCAGTGTCCTCTGAATATCAAATTAAAAATTTATGCACTTTCAGTAGAATTTTTCTGTGAAGTATGTTTTTATTTTAACTTTAAAAATTAGTCACTCATATTTTCTTTTGTTTTAATTCTCTAATAACCAGGGAATTTGATTTCTTAACCATAATGTTCCATTTTGGTATCATGTCAAAGATGACCTTCCTGGGGGGGGGGAACTAATGTCTAGTCACAGGTTTCTAGTAAAATCCTGGGCACTCCTTTGGCTAACACATTCTTTGAGCATTGTATTAGGCTGGTGTTAAAGTAATTGCGGTTTTTGCAAACACTTTTTTTTTTTTTTTTTTTGAGACGGAGTTTTGCTCTTGTTGCCCAGGCTGGAGTGCAATGGCACGATCTTGGCTCACCGCAACCTCTGCCTCCCAGGTTCAAGTGATTCTCCTGCCTCAGCCTCCTGAGTAGCTGGGATTACAGGCATGCGCCACCACGCCCGGTTATGTTTGTATTTTCAGTAGAGATGGGGTTTCTCCATGTTGGTCAGGCTGGTCTCAAACTGCGACCTCAGGTGATCCGCCCGCCTCGGCCTCCCAAAGTGCTGGGATTACAGACGTGAGCCACCGTGCCCGGCCGCAAATACTTTTAAATGCAAAAACCGCAATTACATTTGCCCCAACCTAATAATTGCATTTCCAGCCTTACTTGATGGTGAAAAGCAGTAACTAGAAGTTGTTACCTCATGTTTCTATGTACTGTGTGATGTATGACTTTACATAGAAAGAGAAGCGTAGGCCAGGCGCGGTGGCTCACGCCTGTAATCCCAGCACTTTGGGAGGCCGAGGAGGGCAGATCACGAGGTCAGGAGAACAAGACCATCCTGGCTAACACGGTGAAACCCTGTCTCCACTAAAAATACAAAAAATTAGCCGGGCGTAGTGGCGGGCGCCTGTAGTCCCAGCTACTTGGGAGGCTGAGGCAGGAGAATGGCGTGAACCCGGGAGGCTGAGCTTGCAGTGAGCGGAGATCGCGCCACTGCACTCCAGCCTGGGCGACAGAGCTAGACTCAGTCTCAAAAAAAAAAAAAAAAAAAAAAGAAAGAGAAGTGTAAAATGGCATTAATGTAGATGACATTTAGAAGAAACCCTGTTAAGATTTGGGGACGGGTGGGTAGTTATATTTGGTGAGCAATGTGTTGGGAATAAATGAGCTTGTTTAAAAAAATTTTAAGAACTTTAAGAGAAAGGTGTGTAGAAATTCAAAGAATGATTTACTCACATGCTTTGAAACAAAGGAAATCAGCATGATAAATAACTGGAAATTTCCCAGAAAATAGCCACTTACTGATATACTAACCATACGTACAAATAATTTTATGTAGAGTCTTAAGGGTAAACTTTACTATTATAATTTCAGGTGTGATAGATCCCTTTATTTTTGTCTTATTTTATTCTGAAAGAAGATTCTGTAATATTTCTTAAGAAATTATATTTTCATGCAACTCTACTAATAAAAATACTTCACTTGCTTTCTTTCCTAAAGTGCTTACTATTGCCATTTAATCATTTAATTCTTATAACTACTCCATAAGAAAAGTAGTATTTATTAAAAATTGAAGAATGAGCACAGGGTGGTATGTTGTCTAACATCACCAAGCTAATAAGGAGCAGGGCGAGGGTTGCACCTAGGCATGCTTGCATTAGGCTGTCTGCACTTGTCCGCTATATAACAACATCTGACAGTGGTTACACCATTCCTGCTGTGGAGTCTTCTTCCTTCCATTAGCATTTTCCATTGACCATGCAGGCAGGGAGTCCACCAGCAAAGGCATTACATGTCCACCATATATATGGTGGTAATGTAACTTGAATTTTTCAATGTCATCTGATTTTAAAATAAGATTGTAATTCCCTTCAGAAATTTAGGGAATTTTTAATATGTACATTGTATAGCACTGGTTGCACAGAGGGCCAAACCACAATACTTTGCTCAGAGTAGTTGCTCAATAAGTATTTGTTAATGATATAACAACAACAACAAAAAGAAATTTAGGGAAGTAGGCAAATTATATGCAATGGTTACCTCAGTGATATTCAAAGATGATTTTGACACATAGTAGGAATTCAAATGCATATTAGCTCTTATTTCCTTATGACTCTTTCCCCAAGTATATTTATAGAGAATTTGGTTATTAACATTTACAATCATGATTTGCTGATTTACCAGTTTCCTTTATATGAATGGACGTGTTCTACCTAAACACGTTTTGAGACAGACAACACAAATATCATTCTCCTTACTTTCCTCAGGTGTGGCACAGAGGGACAAGTGTTGTTTTCAATGTTCCATAACCTGAAAGTGGTGAACATACATTTAAAACTCACACCTTTTGACTTTAAGGGCATTGATAACCAGTGAAGAGAACAGCCATTAAAAAAAATTTTCCTGTCAAAGTAGACAGAAAAAATTCCACTTTGCAACAGTGCCAACTTAGTGCCAAATGCCACTTGTGCTCTGAAGTTGATCTTTGTTTTATGCAGGATGGCAAAAAAAAGAAAAACACAACCAGTCAAGCTTCATTGAGCACATTTATTGTTCAGTGACAAAGCTGAAATCACTTTGTTCTAACAGTTGACTTTCCACTGAACTCTGAAAAAAGTAAGCAATTACTTGGTTCATGCTCTTTAGCAAAGTGAATGAATGCTTAGTTTATTTTAAGCTTCCAGATTTGATCTCTTGCACTAGGAATGATAATACCCCTAAGCAATTATGGCATTTGTCATTTGTTGCTCTATTGTATATTTCTCTAAGCTCCAGATGAAAAATAAATCTCTTTTGAGTGTTCTATGTATAAACCATTTGGTAATAGCTACAGCAGAAAGATCTGCTCAGGGTTGATGGGGTCTGGCTAACAAAAGTAATTTTAGACTTCCCTTTCCAGTTGTTAGCCTAAAATCATTCACAAAATACAATTTAAGTGGACCAAGGTGGACAATGTACCCTAGATAAATGATTAACTATGGACAGATATCATCTGATCAATTTCTTGATTCCATTCTTTCCAAGAAACCAAACATTTACCTGTCATTTGGATTTGAGGAACTTATTGTTTTGTCTTATCAATTTTATGTGATAATAAGTTGTTCTTTGGGGAATAAACCTTAAGTTCCCATCCAAAATTATGGTTAAGCATTTTTCTTGTTACCAATTATTTAAATTAGAACTCTCTTTACTCAGTAAATATGTATCATGAATAGTTACCTTTTGAAAAACATCATGGAGGAGACAAAGATGAATTGATAAAGTTAATTCATCTTTTCTTTAATAGAATTTGTAATTTAGTCTTATAAATGAATGTCATAGAATATGGAAAACCAGGACAAAAGAAATAACTCACTTCCCAATAAAAACAAACAGTGAAAGCCTTACTATTGGAGGGAAAGGGGAGGGGGGTGATAGAGTTTCAATTCCTTCCAAAATAGTGAAATTAATAACATCAAGGACTGGAATGGTTGTTACCAAGAACTACAGAGGGAGAGAGAAATGAGTTATTAATCAACAGGCACAAAATTTCAGTTAAATAAGATGAATAAGCTTTGGAGATCTGTCATACAATATTTACTTGGAATCAACGATAATATATTGTACACCTAAAATTTGTTAAGAGGACAAATCTCATATTAAATATCCTTACCACAATTAAAAAATACACTGATTTCTAAATGTACCTATAGGTGACATTAAGGTGATTTGTTGTATCGAATTATTCAGCTATAAAGCAGTTAAAAGCTGAGATGTGCCTACCCAAAATGATGGCATTAATTGTGGAACAATTGACCTATAGCTCTTCTCACTGTTTGTATTAAAATAACAATATAAATTCCCTAATGAAAAAATGTCATATGTTTTGTAGATAATGGTGTTTTTCTATTATCTATTAGAGAGAAAAAGGACCTACTCCTTCCAAAGTTATATTAAAGTTAAGATGGAAATAAAAAGGCAAGAAAAAACTTTAGCTTTATCTCCACCAAAATCTGTTATCTGATTCATCAATAGTCCATTCTTAACAACTCTGAGACTCAACAGTTCTAAGGTACACCTACTGTATCAGCAGTAGTAACTGGTATTTTACTTTGAGGTAATGAAGTTTGGTCTATAACAGAATCCTATGCACAGAGTTAGAGGCAGAAGAAAGTTTAATAAGTACTGTAAACGATTTTAGCACATTCCTAAAGGTTTTCTGTAAAAGGTAACAACACTTTTAAGATGAATAAAAGTGAAAGAGTTATACCAATTTTCTGTTAGTATTTGTTTAGATTTTCATTTGCTTGGAAAGTCTAGGTTTGTAGTCTGTTGAGCAGGAAATTAGACTACAATCAGGTAAAATAACTTGTAGCTAGCAGGCCTAACTTTGAGAGTTACTTATATAGAAAAAAAAACAAAATTCATCTTCCATATAATAGCTCCTTAAATATCTGAGGGGAGCAATTATATTTCTCCAGGCATGATAGGTTTCCTCAACCACTGCTCAAATGACATGAAGTGAAGTTCACTTTACCATTCTCCTATCTTTCAAAAATCATCCTGGTAAGATCTAACCAATTCAAAGTAAAGAAATACTATCCCTAATGCCATTCTAGCTATCAGAATATCTAGACATAAAATATCAGGAACAATAGAAGTTAATATACCTTTAGATCACATTAGTTCCTTGGCAAACAAATCTCATTGTTGAGTCACACTGAATTTGAATTCAACTAATCCTGTAATTCTTTCTCATACAGGCTGCCTCTAAACCAATTTTCTCCATTTGTCTTTGATCCAAAGTTGTGCCTTCGGATTGTAGTGCAAGACCTGTAATAATCTGTCAAATTTCATTGTGAGCTTTCCTTGTTTCATGTCTTCTACTATCCTTTTGGATTCAGATTTTAACATCACTGTATTTGCTGTCCTTTCTGGCTTTTTACTGTTGTCGTCACATTTGCAAAGCATGCCCCAAGCATTTGCTTCATCTAAGTTATTGATATAAATGTTAAATAGGACAAGTGTAGATATGGTGTCTTGTCATATAATATCTGATCATTGTTTCACAATTATTATCAATTTTAAATAACCAGAATCTTTAGTCATAATAGTTTCAACAGTTAATAATATAAATTACAGATTTTTAAAGAATGTTTTTAAATTTTTGAGCAGTTTTAGATTGACAACAAGATTGACAGGGAGGTACAGAGATTTCTCATCTATCCCCTGCCCCTACTCATGCGTAGCTATTTCCAATATCACCATCCCCCACTAGAATAGTACAACTGATAAACCTGTACTGACACATTATTATCACGAAAAGTTCATAGTTTAACATTAGGATTCACTTTTGATGTTGCACATTTTATAGGTTTGGATAAATAATGATATATATACATGTGTAAATGACTAATATTTTAAAAAATATTCTGACAATATATTATGTGCTATCTTATCTTATGCTTTGATGAATTTCAGTTACATGTTGTCTGCGACTTTTTCCTGATTTATAATTCAGATTATTAATTGATTGAAAGTTGTAGCCCTTTCATTAGAAATGTTTGGTTATGAAGACAGACATAAAAACAAGAAAAATAATAAAAACACACTAATTTAAGTTAGCACTTCCAAAAATTTGTTTTCCTTTCTTTTCCAGTAGAAATCACAAGTCTTTGTTAACTGCAACAAATAAATTGCTTTTAGAGTTTAAATTTGTCTTATACGTGGACAAAATAAAAGATCTATAAGTTCCATTTTCAAGGTTGGGTAACAGTTGTGATGAGCAACTATTACATATTAATATGAGGATTAATGAGCTTATGGTTATTAAAGATTGTGTATCTTTTTAGTATAATTGTAGTAATTATAATTATAGCAATAAATTTTATTTTGCTAGTCATAACAGTTTATTTTTATATGATGAGAAATATATATATTTTTTTCTTAGTTATATAATTTGGATGATCTAGAATATTGGAAATGTTTCTTATTAAATGACTCAGTTCCTGTGTCCAGTGATCCTTCTAACATTCTCTCCTAAAGCTTTAGCTCAAATTACATTAAATCTTCCTGTAAAATTTAGTTCACCCTATGACTACTTTCACATAAACACCTTTCAGTATCATATGTTTGTAGTACAGTACATCCTTAGTATCACCCTCACATAAAAAGCTAGCATACTTAAAATTACCATGCAATCATCATTTCCAGTAAGGGTCATCTCACTGATTCTAAACCAGGTCTTGCCTTGTGATTAACCCTAGGTCAATCTTCCAGAATAAGCAGCCCAATAAGTAATTTAGAAAGAGGAACATTTCAACCCTATATTTTATAATGGGCCCCAAAAGAGGAGACAAGAAAAACAGAAAGAATGGAAGGGAAACAGTCAAGTTCCAAAGCAGTGGTTCTCAACTGGGGGCAGTTTTGCTCCTTGGGAGATAATTTTAGTGTCCAAGTTTGGTGGGGTGCAACTGTCATCTAGTACGAAAAGGCCACAGATATTACTAAATCTTACAGTGCACAGGACAGCATTTATTTAGAATTAGCTTTAGATTTTAAAACTAAACTTAAAAAAAATTCTAAGAGAAAAGTGCCTTGTATAAAGTAGATCTATTTTATGTGGAAAATCAAGAGACTGCCCATGGAATTATAGTACCAAAAGCCTGACATTGCATTTCTTCTGATACTTGTAAACAGCCTGGTCAGCAGAGATTGCTCTTCATGGTACAATAGCATACTTTTGATGAATGACAAAGAAAGTCATAAACAAATAACAAATACATCCTTCCATAATATCTTAATAATGCAATTAATGTCAGGAAAAACAGTGTAACATGTTTTATAAAACATAATGGATAACCATGATTAAATATTGGGTTGACCACATAATGCACTAAAATGTGTTTATACAACTTGTTTATACATCTTGTTCTTAAGATTTGAACTGTTTTTCTAATATTTACAGATGTTTCTTGAAAAAAATCCAACTTCTAAAGTGTCTACAAAATAAAGTCCTCGAATATATTTGAGAAAGACTTGGAATGCTGTCATAAGAAAAACAAAAGGTTTTACATCACCCCTTCAAATATTTTTTTTTTGAGAAAAAGGAGTTTTGAAGGCCACTGTTTCAATGAATCAATTCTCTCCTCTTCTATCATATTTAAGTTTATGTTATCTGATTTTGAAAAAAAATATTTAGTGACAACATATTGAATTGCCATAAACAAAACTAAACATGTAACTATGTAAAGTGAATGAATTTTGTAAACATAAATCTTATTTTTTTAAACATACTTTAATAGGACTATCTCTAAAATAATTTATTTACTGCATACGATTGAACACTTTATGCCTGGAAGATACTACAGCACCCAAGAGAGATTGAGGGTAAATTGAGGTGACTGAGGCCCAAAATAAGATAAGATCATCTCTTATTTCTTTTATACAAAAGCTGAATGGCTCACCTGTATCTTTCATGTGATACGGAGAATCCGAAGAGTAGCCTGATGCATCATTGGGATTTTGGGAAGGAAGATTCAACCTTAGAGGAAATCAAAGGAATTCTATTTTATTTCCTCATTCCCTCTGTAGTTTGAGAGAAACATGCAAAATCTATATTAACTGTCTTAAGAAACATCAGAGCTTCTGAAATTGTGAAGTCATATTTCTGTGGTGCTATAGTTTTTACAGTATAAATATTTATATCCTAGTCCAGTGATAAAGGGGATGAAAAATGCATTGTTTAAAGAGAATTCAGAAGTCAGAGTTATGCTGAGAATATACTTTTACACATTCATTCAACTAATATTTGTTAAGAGCATAATATATGCTGTGCAAGTGATACAGAGAGCACCAGGTAAGATGTCAACAACACCTTAATGTTTCCAAGGATTAGAGTGATGATATTAAGGAGACTCTTTGTTCTTTCTCAGAGAAATGAATTAGAGCACATGGATTTAAATTTACCCTTAAGGTAAATGTAACTTAAGGATTTACCGTTAAGTTGGGGTGAAGGATCTTTTATGTTAAAAGACACTATACCAGTTATGAAGATAATGGTCTCTCAGTCTCAAATCCACTCCTCTTAGCTTTGGGATTGTGGGGCTGGGATTTTTGAAACTGCTTTTCATTTGCTAGACAATCTGTGTAAGGGGCACTAGAGAGAGCCTGGGAGGCTAAAGGAGAAATGAGGGACTTTTCCCTGCCAGCTTCATGCTGTCTTGCTCTTTTATTTTTTCCAGCTCCTGTGAGCATCACATCAGCCACACTTCTTCACCCTGGTAGCAGCAAGTCCAGGTTTTCGTTCTCTAACACATCAAAGAGTCAGCCTGATGGTGCCCCTTAGAGATGCTAGCACCAGCTGGTAGCACTCAGAGGTCTGAGCTCTGCGAGGTTTCTCCACCAAACAACAAAGTTTTAGTAATTCCTACATTTTTCGTTTGTTCCCTAAGGATGGTAGCTGCTTCCTGCAGTTTCTATTTTCATGATACTTTATTGTTTTACTGTCTGGCTTTCAGTTTTTAAAAGATAGTTCAAAATTATTTACATTAAATTTTTTTGTTGTTAAAATAATTGTTGTGGTTTTTGATTGGATCTTGACTGATCCAGAGATTAAGTACTCGACAAAGGGCATGATTTACATTAAGACTTCCATAATGTTAATCATAATCATGACACTGATAACCCAACCTGCACTCTGTAATATTCAGAGGCAGAGCACTAAAGTTCTTTTGATAAAATTTTGAAGCCTAGGCAACATAGTGAAATCCTGCCTCTACGGAAATTACCAAAACTTACTGGGCATGGCGGCACACGCCTGTAGCCCCAGCCACTCAGGAGACTGAGGTTGGGGGATTAAGTGAGCCTGGGAGTTCAAGGGTGCAGTGAGTTGTGATTGTGCCACTGCTCCCCAGCTTGGGCAACAGAGTGAGGCTCTATCTCAAAAACAATTTTTTTTGTAGTAATTATATGTGGTACATTATTTAAGTGAATATAATTGTCTTAAGTGCGTTAGTATTTGTAAAACATTTAGAACAGTGCATGGCAATTGGAGAAAACTATATAGGTGTGAGTGTGTGTCACACACACAGACATTATGTCTGTGTGTGTACATATGTATATAGGTAGGTAGGTATATTTACATGTATGTGTGTATATGTTTGTTGTGTATGTATTTAGGTATGTGTATGTATATATTTGTTATATAAGATCAAAAAGACAAAATAAAAATAAATGATAGAAAATGTATCACTGTTCTTCTGCATGTATGGTGGTACTCTATAAATATTTATAGCAATTCTATATCTGCTACAAGTCTCCCCAAAGTGCATCCAACAACAAATACTCATTTTTACAGGTATCTCTTCTTATAGCTATTATAGGAGGAATATTTCTGTAACCAATTGGCAAATTCCATGTTTTTTGTCTTATATCTTCTCTGCTGTCCATGGTTTACAGTTAGGACCTTTTCCATGCAAAAATGTACTTTCTTCATAAATAATGGCGCTTTTTAAATGCTAGCTTGATATACATTTAGTTAACTCATATTCATATTGAACTATTTTTTTTCTAGAGGGTTCTGAATCCTAAAACATACATCTCTTTCTTCACATCTTGATCTGAAATCAGAATTGGTTGAACTTTTAATATATTTATAGGTTTGTACCAGATACCATGGAATTCTGAAATCAATGGCTTCTAAGCCATCACATGTTGTATGTATCACGTTCTCCACAACTGTGAATTTTTTCTAGAGTGCCATAAAGTTTAATAACATAAACATTACTGGCAAGTTTATGAACCCCATTGTTTGCTCTCAGTTAGCTATTGATAGGTTTCACAATTGTTTAGTTACATGAAGAGTTTCTTCCTAATTATCAGACAGATGTATATTAATACACCAAATCCTTAGACAATAATCCTGTAGACAAATTTCCATTAATATTAAACAAGTTATAGGTATATATCCTGGTGACCTATTATTTACGTTGGTTTAGAATTTACTAATAAGGTATGGTCTAATTATCCCTATAAGCTCAGAAGTTCTACATGTTACTTTAAAATGACAAGTATTGTATGACAAAGACCTTCACAGATGTTTCCTGGATTATTTTAAATCCAAAAAATATTTAAGTTTTCTAGTTGACATTAAAAATAGAATGCAGCATTTCCTTTTCTGAATGAAACTCAAAAGAAATAGTCTTTTCTTGTGGGCTTGGTAAAAATTATCAAAAGTGAGAAAAGATGCCTGGTCCATTTGTAGAAAAATACTAATTTTAGTTATTCACTGAGGCTAGGGCTGTGATACTTAGCTAAAGACCACTTTTTTATATAATTATGTATCGTGATCTTGAAAGAACTCTCATTTCTTTTGATTTTTTCATAACTTACTATTTTTTAATATCCTGTAAATTCAAACCAACTTTTTATGTAGAAGTTTACAGAGGAGGAAGTAGAAACTGTGAAATTATAACAATGAAATAATCACAATGTTTATAAACAAGGACTGATAACCATGAAACAACTCTGGTTGTATATTTTTTTCACTGATACATAATAGTTATACATGTTTTGGAGGTACATGTGATATTTTGATACATGCATACAATGGGTAATGATCAAATCAGAGTAACTAGGATATCAATCACCTCAAACGTTTGTTTCTTATGTTGGGAACATTCCAATTCTTCTCTTCTAGCTATTTTGAACTACACATTAACTACAATCACTACTACTGAACACTAAATTTTATTTCTTCTATCTAACTGTATTTTTGTATCTGTTAACTAGTGTGCCTTCATTCACTTCACCCTACCTACTCTTTCCAGCCTCTGGTAACCACCAGTCTACTCTCTATCTTCATGAGATCCATTTTTAGTTCTCTCATATAAGTGAGAACATGCGGTACTTGTGTTTCTGTGCCTGGATTATTTTATTTCACTTAACACGATGTCCTCCCATTCCATCAATGTCACTGCAAATGATAGGATTTTATTCTTTTTTACAGCTGAATAATATTCCATTGTGTATATGTACCATATTTTCTTTATTCATGTATCTGTTGACGAACACAGGTTGATTCCACATCTTGACTTTTGTGAATTGTTCTGCACTGAAAATGGGGGTGCAGATATTTCTTCAATATGTAGATTTCCTTTTGGGGGATATATACCTGGCAGTGGAGGCAGTGGAATTGTGGGATCACACAGTAGTTCTATTTGTAATTTTTTGAGGAATCTCCATCCGGTTGTGTTTTTTTTTTTTTTTTTTTTTTTTTTTTTTTGACAGAATCTCACTCTATCGCCCAGGCTGGAGTGCAGTGGTGTGATCTCAGCTCACTGCAACCTCTGCCTCCTGGGTTCAAGCAATTCTCCTGCCTCTGTCTCCTATGTAGCTGGGATTACAGGTGTCCGCCACTATGCCTGGCTGATTTTTATATTTTTAGTAGAGACAGAATTTTACCATGTTGGCCAGGCTGGTCTCAAACTCCTGACCTCAAGTGATCCCCCAGCCTTGGCCTGCCAAAGTGCTGGGATTACAGGCGTGAGCCACCTGCCTGACCTATAGTGTTCTTCATTGTAGTTGTCCTAATTTACATTCTCACCAACAGTTTATGAGGGTTCCCCTTTCTCCACATCCTCATCAGCATCCATTATTTATTATTTTTAATAAAAAAGTTTAACTGAGGTAAGATAATGACTGATTATTGCTTTGATTTGCATTTCCCTGATTAGTGATGTTAAGCATTTTTTCATAAGCCTGTTGACCATTTGTATGCCTTCTTTTGAGAAATATCTATTCAGACTTTTTGCCCATCTTTTAGTTGGATAATTTGTGGGTTTTTTGCTATTTTCTTTACACATGCTGTTTATTAGTCCCTTGTCAGACAGGTAGGTTGTAAATATCTTTTCCCATTCTGTAGTTTGTCTTTTCACTCTGTTGTTTCTTGTGTAGTGCAGAAACTTTTTAGCTTGATGTAATCCCATTGGTGTATTTTCCCTTCTGTTTCCTGTGCTTGTGAAGTCTTAAACAAAAAGTCTTTGCCTGACCAATATTCTGAAGCATTTCCCCAATGCTTTCTTCTAGTAATTTGAAGGTTTCTGGTCTTAGATATAAGGCTTCAATACATTTTGATTTGATTTTTGCATTTGCTGAGAGATAGGGTTCTAGCTTTATTCTTCTGCACACTGTTATTCAGTTTTCCTAGCACAATTTACTGAAGAGACTGTCATTTCCCCCAGTGTAAGTTCTTGACACTTTTGTCAATTAGTTGGCTGTAAATGTGTGAATTTATTTCTGGGTTCTCTATTCTTTTTCATTGGTCTGTGCATCTGCTTTTATGCCAGTAATATGCTGTTTTGATTAGTATGATTTCACAGTATATTTTGAAGTCAGATAGCATGATCCCTCCAGCTTCATTCTTTTGCTCAGGATTGCTTTGTCTCCTGGGGTCTTTTGTGGTTCCATATGAATTTTAGGATTGTTGTTTTCTGTTTCTGTGAAGAGTGTCATTGGTATTTTGATAGGGATTTCATGAAATCTGTAGATCACTTTGGGTATTATTGATATTTTAATAATATTATTGAAATTCATGGGTACAGGATATCTTTCCATTTTTTTTTTTTTTGGTGTTCTCTTCAATAATGTTTCATCAGTGTTTTATAGTTCTCCTTGTAGAAATGTTTCACTTCTTTGGTTAAATTAATTCCTAAGTATTTTATATTTTTTGTAACTATTGTAAATATATTGCTTTCTTGATTTTTCAATTTGTTCACTGTTGGTATACATAAATGCTACTGATTTTTGTGTGTTGATTTTGTATCCTGCAACTTTACTGAACTAATTTATGAGTTTCAATAGTTTTTTGGTGGATTTTAAAGGTTTTTCTAAATATAAAATCATGTTGTTTGTAAGCAAGGATAATTTAACTTTTTCCTTTCCAATTTGGATGCCCTTTATTTCTTTCTCTTGCCTTATTGCACTAGCCAAGACTTCCTGTGGTTGTGTTTTAGTGAAGTCTTATGTTCTGCCAATTTACCATTGGGTGGGTTGTGCTATGCTCCCCAAAGTCCCCAGTTAAAGTCTGCGTTGTTTCTGCTAGTATTTCTCTAGTAAGTTTCCCATTTTGCTTAGTTCTTTAACTAGTTAAGCACCTTTTCCATAAGAAAATGAAATGTAGTGTAGGTCCTCTTCCATGTGCTTGAGAGTGGGGGAAAGGAAAAAGGGAGACTGCAGTGAAAAAAAATTCCAGCTGTGTGGCTGAAGAAACTTTTAGGGCACCACACTTGAGTTGCAGCTAAACTGAAAGACACCAACATCAACCTTCACTGACCTCATAACTTTGCCTGGGGCCAGTCCACTGTAACACATAGATATTGAGTTACATCTTTTTAACATATGTTTTATACTTCCTGTGATTCTTGTGCACCAACAATAACCAGAAAAACTATCATGAATCTACTATGTAAAAGGGACTTAAAGTGCTTTCATTCCCTTTGGAGGAAGGAGCAAGGGAAAGAGGACTGAAAGCAAAGAATGACAAAAGAGAACTTAGCAGTTGTTAGTTACACATTAATTGAGTGTTTTAAGGCAAATAGAAAATTTTGGCACTATGACTGAAGTTGATTTATACAACTACTCTGATAAAACTTAGGAAAATCCAGTAAATTTACCAGATAATCTGCTGTAATTGAAACCACTCTTCATTATTTACTCTTTGTCCTACTCTGCATGTGTCGGAAAGAGGAAACCATGTGCTTCAATAAAAATGATTTACGGGTTAGTTATAATGATATCCTAACTCATATAAATAATTTAAAGATATAAAACATCTGCCGCATGATATAAAGACAAAATAGTCCTTTTGGATAAGTGGGAGAATATGATATCAAAATAAGCCATTTGCTTTTTAAATCAGATTTTATATGTAAGAAACCACTAGGTGACAGTGTGACTTTACAACAAAATGAACACACCTTTTCAGAGTTCACAGTAACCTTCAGGTCTGAGAATTTGGCACTAGATCTAAAATGTTAATTTGAAAATTAAACATTTATTTTAGGGGACAACAAAAACTACCACTTTTAGACTTGCTTCCAGAATTTAAAAAAGATTAAAGGGTTAAAATATTTGCTATTATACCAGAAACTTATACCAAATTTCTCTCTCCACAGTATGACAGATTTTCAATATGAGATACTTTTCATCATACAACAGAAAAACCTGTTAACTAGTCTTCATTGTCTAAGATGGCTATTGCTGGTTTCTAGATTTTTCTTCTTCATCAAATTACCACCATTCATGTTAGTTCTTCATTATCTAAATTTTAAAGAAGGAAAGTAGCATTTCCCATCCATATACTTATTTTGAAGAAAACTATAAAGGACATTATTTTTGTTCAATTATATATAGAGAGTGATTTTGGGGTAATTTTAGCAATTTTCCTCCATTATTAAGAGTTGTCAAATACGTGGCTTAATAGTTAATAAAAGCTTCATGCAGGAGTCCCAGAGACCAGTTCTACTATTCTGCTGGAGTTCTTTCCCCTTCCAGAGCATTTCAGCTGTAGTTTAAATCATAGAAATAGTGACAGTGTTAAACTAGTCATAGACATGTGTAATAAAGAATTTAGCTGGCCTTTGTTCCTGGTTCCTGGGGTGTGACCTGTAAGCCTTTGCAATTTTCCAAGTGATTGAGGTGTCTTTGTTACCATGGTGGGCCCTAGGATCACACTGGACAGTTTATGCCAATGAGGTGACTCCTTGTAAGTTCCTCCACAGTTAATACTAACTGTGGTTAGTTATGGGTGACTCAGGATGGGGGACTAAAGTTCAAATACGCAACAGAGGGTTGGGACTTTGAACCATGTGATATCATCCCAACCTCTGGAAAGGGAAAGAAGACTGAAGATTGAGTTTAACCACATGGCCAATGATTTAATCAGTTTTGCCTACATAATGAAACTCCAGTAAAAACCCTGGACACTGAAGCTTAAATGAGCTTCAAACATTGATACATCAGGAGAGCTATGCTTCCTAAGGACACAGAAGCTTTGCATTTGGAAGCCTTCCAGACCTTGCTCTATGTAGCTGGTCCCTTTGGCTGGTGCTGATTTATATCCTTTTGCTATAACAAAATTGTAGTTACATGTTTAGCATTTTCCCGAATTCTGTGATTTATCCTAGCCAATTACTGAACCTGAGGGGGTAGTGAGAACTCCCAAATTTGTAGTTAGCTTGTCAAAAATAAGCATGGTTTGGGGACTCCCAAACTTGTGGCTGGTATCTGAAGTGGGGGTAGTCTCACAGAGGACTATGCCCTTAACCTCAAGTTTGATAAGCTCATTGCAATATGTGAGACAAAAAGCCAATATTTCAAATTAGTTTAAGACTTCGATAGATATTCAGGTAGTGTCTCAAAATCACCATATAATTCTTCCCCATATTTTTCTCAAGTATTAGTAACACTTACCTATAAAGAGCTATTTTTATTAAACATTGAGTCAATTCTATTTCTCCAAAATAGTAATGTATCCTATGACTTATATATACAAATGTTGATTTGAAGATTATCACCTTCTTTGGTAAAAATAGATTCTTATGGGAGGAAAGCAGATTGTAGCATCTTTCTTTTCTAGTCTGAGCTACTCATTTTCCTATTGTGTCCTCAGGGAAAGTGTAACCCAGAGTGGCAGCACACTGAGAGAAATAAGGTATCTTAAGTCAGTGCTGTATATTAGTTTTTTTCCCAGTGTGCAGAGGAAACCCACCATAACCTGAGAGCAATGGCAAGGTTAAATTGCCATTTTTAGGCTCTACAAACTCCGAGTACAGTGGATATTTTACATTTTTTTTTTGATCCAACATCAAATTGATCCCCCCCCTCCTATTAGCATCTTGATTTCTCTATTACAGGGGGGTTTCCCCAGTGGAGGTAGTCTTGATGGGTGGGGGTTGGGGGGCAGCATTTATCTTCATTTTGCCATGATGCAATGTGGACACATATATGAGTTAAGGTCTGCCAATTGAGAGCACTGATTATTCAACAGGTGACATATGGTAATGGGGATAATTAAAAGTCAGTTAGTATTATAAAGACCAAACTGTTTCTCTCTCTCAGATCCTCTGATTTACTCAAATCTTTTCAATAAACTTAATTATTTCTCTTAGGTAGGCAGTCAGATTTTGTTGCCTACAATCAAGAATTCTAACTCACTAGGTCTTCAAAAAGTGACCTATAATTGGGTTTAAAGGTAATAAAATTCTCTAAAAGAGAATATATTCTGCTAGTAATAACGCTAAACAGAATTATGCTTATAAAGACCAAGTTGGAGGTAGGGAGAATTAAAGGATATTAGGAAAGGAAGGAGTATTTCAGACATTTAGAAAATATCTAAATGGCCTCAACAATAATCCAACTCATGGCATGGCATGGCATGGAAAAGAGGCAGAAATGACACAAGATTCAAAGAATGAGTATAGAATAATGGGAGGAATGTTACAATGATTAGATTCTATGATATTTCAGCCTGAAGAAGAAAAAGGGTTAAATCTAAATATGTACATTATTTTATAGTTTAAAAAATAGTTACTAAAGATCTAAGACACGTCTACCACTATAAAATTGCCTTTCTTCTCTCTTAAAAATAGATGAGGTTAGAAATAAGAAATCACTTTCTTTTAACAAAAGGTATTTTATTTGGAAAGAAAGGGAGAGTAGTTGAGATTTCCTCTAGAAAGTATACAATATTTTTTTCATTATGATTTACATATATTAACCTAAGATAGGAAACTCTAGGTATTCTGAATTCTGTATAACAAGCCAACATTGTTATAACAAAAATTCTCTCAAAGGAACCTCTATTGCATGGAACATTGCCACTTAACATGTGCTCCAAGGAACAGTGGAATTAATCTTGGATCTTGTTAGAAATGCAGAATCTCAGGGCTTATTCCAGGTCTACTGGCTCAGAATCTGTATTTTAACAATATTTGCAAGTGATTTATATGAGAAATATTAGCACAGAGCACAAAGCAAATACTTTACTGAGTCCAAATCTCCTGGTTCCTAAGCTACTCCTTGCAAGTCAATAAGTCACCTTTGCAACATGAATTAATTACTTAGTTCACTAGCATTTATTTAATGTAGTGAAGATCAGGGCTGAAAGAATTAAACTGACAAATGGTATTCCAGGTTGAAATTATGTGGTCATTTGAATTAAACTTCAGCCTCAAATCTAGACAATTAAAATACTTTTAGCAAAGTTAACCATGTGATCATGATATACAAAAACAATACAAACAGAATGACTTAATTTTAAACATAATGGCTATATTTAGCCAAAGGAAGTGAAGTGAAACAGGACAGAAACTTTTTTAAAATGATATTTTAAATAATTTTAATTTGAAAACTTTAATTTTTTGGAACTTTCGGTTCCAGGACTACCCACAGATACTCAAATTCTCAAATGCTCAAGTCCCATAAGGGACTTGGCATAATATTGGCATATAAAATGGTGTAGTATTTGCATATAATCTACACACATCCTCCTTTATAGTTTAAATTATCTCTCCATTACTTATAATACCTAATACAGTGTAGGTGCTATGTAAGTAGCTGTTATACTATATTGTTTAGGAAATAATGAGAAGAAAAAAGTCTGTACCTCTTCAGTACAAACACAAACATCTATTATTTTTCTAGTATTTTTGGTCCAGGGTTGGTTGAATCCATGGATGTGGGATCCATGGAAACAAAGAGCTGACTATATATATGCCATATATATGGCGTATATATATATACACACACACACACACACACACACCATATATATACACACACCATATATATGGTATATATATATACACACACACACCATATATACACACCCCATATATATGGTGTGTGTATATATATATATATATATATATATATATATATATATGAGTGAGAGAGAGAGAGAGATAGAGAGAGTTGACTGTTGAACAATGTAGGGGTTAGGGGTGCCAACTCCTGTGCAATTGAAAATCCTCATATATCTTTTGACTCCCCAAAAACTGAACTACCAATAGCATACTGTTGACTGAAGCCTTATCAATAACATAAACAGTAAATTAATATATATTTTGAATGTTATGTACTGTATTCTTATATTAACATAAGCTAGAGAAAATAAAATGTTATTAAGAAAATCATAAGGAAGAGAAAACATGTTTACTATTCATTAAGTGGAAGTAGGTCATCATATAGGTCTTCATCTTCACTGTCTTCATGTTGAGTAGTAAACTGAGGAAGAGGAGGAAGGGGAGGGGCTGCTCTTGCTTTCTCAGGGATGGCAGAGGCAGAAGAGGCAAGAGGAGGTGGAAGGAGAGGCACGCTTAGGAGTAACTTTTGGTGAAAAAATCTGCACATAAGTAGACCTTCAAAGTTCAAACCCGTGTTGTTTAAGGGTCAACTATATATTTATCGGACTCCAAAATACATGCCTTTGTATAATCCCCTTCTACATTCTATGTACAATGCAATATAGTAGAAGTGATGAACTTCCAAGACTGGGTAATTAAAAACATTGATACCTCTGCCATGTTCTCACATATCACTTGCTCTGGAGTAGGCACTATGAAGTGAAAACACTCAAGCATCCCTATAGAGAGGTCTATGTAGTGAGGAACTGAAGCCTCCTGTTAACTGCCAGTGTCAACTTGCCAGCCACTTGGGTGAGCCATCTTAGGAGTAGATGGCCTCAGCTGATAGTCTGACTACAACCTCATGAGATACCCTAAGACAGAACCACTTAGCTAAGCCATTCCTTCTTGACCCACAGACACTGAATAAATGTTTATTATTTTTTGAAGTAATTTGTTTTGCAGCAATGTTAAACATATAGATTTGATCTGAAATTGGTATTGCATTATAACACATAAGCACATTCTATAATGCAAGTTTTTAAATAACTGTCCATAATAAGTAGACAAGGTTTTAGACATCTAATATAGCAATTTATTTCCAGCAAGGCATCACTTAAGCCATTCAAGACAAATTAAAACAATTTCTCTGAAGGTTTCGGAAGATATGTTCTAGAAGCTGCTGTGAAGATCTTCATACAAATATTTGGTCTACCATGTGTGAGCATAAAACAGAGAATTATTTTTTATGTAAAATGTTGAAAAATAGCCTTAGGGCAAAAAATTGAGTGTGGGCTCAAATTCTCATTTCTCTAAGTTTATCTTTTTGGATGATTTCTTTTAACAAATTGCACACATGTTCACTTGATTGTTTCTCTCAAACTAGTTTAGTATAAATAATAGTTATCATATAATGAGGAAAGACATCTTCCTAATAAACAAAATAAAATGTTTGAGGTTGACCAAAAACCAAAGTAAGTATATGTATGCAGCCTACATATTTATGGGTTTAGGCTAACTAAATCATAGGCTTCTGTAGCCTCGGGTTCTGTCTGATGGTGTTATGAGGAAGGTGTGGGAAGTGGCCTGTTTCTTTATGGGTTGGGAGAAAGTAATTCATTCTTCCTGACAGAAGCTAGAGCCTGATAAAACTCATTTGTGTCCCTCAAAGTCAACAAGGCAGACCCAAAGTCTGTTGGAGTTAATCTGACAGAGACTAATTCTACGGGCCAATACAGGTTGTTGACAATCTCACATAACATGTATGCATTATCATAATATACTGGAGGGAAGAAAATTATCATAGAAACTCAATAACAGAAATAGATGGAACCAAAGAAGTACAGTCCCAGTATGGACCTTGAGTCCTTTTAGACTGATAATGAATAATACCTGCAATTAATAACAGTGGCCTTCACATTAGGAAAAGTCATTTCCAACCAGTATGGGATTAAAAGAGAATGGAATTCCCAGAAGATGACTAGTAACTAGATAAGGAAAGGAGAGAAATCTAGGACAGGACTGAGGCAATTCTCTTAGTCACATTCAACAAAAGTTTCCTCAATTCTTAGTGAAGAACAATAGGAAGTTAAAACCAGAACTGTAATATTTTTCATCTATAGTTTACAGGTATAATTTGTTCAAGTTCACTGTCTACTAAAGTATATAGATATCAATTGGTCGGTCTACGGATTCTCTAATTTCTTCATTTTCTTATGTTTTAAGAGCCCTTTAGCTTAGAAGGCAATATATTGCAGCAAGAATTGGGCACTCATAGAGTGCAGAGGAGTATGGTCTACATTTTGGTGTCTATCTGCATGTTTGGGAATTAAATATCATAATGGCACAATGAA
The DNA here is from genome assembly GCF_000001405.40 of Homo sapiens. Lineage (NCBI taxonomy): Eukaryota > Metazoa > Chordata > Mammalia > Primates > Hominidae > Homo > Homo sapiens. The sequence goes on along the minus strand of NC_000005.10, from coordinate 86,800,934 downwards.
AATATAAGAGTTCAATAAAATTGTAATCATCCAGATTATGTAAATATATTTTTTTTCTGTTAGAGCTGAACACATAATTGAAGGAAAGGACAACATTTTAGATGATTAATTGTCCAGGTTATTTTCTAAATTCATGATATAATGTTTTCCTGTCAGAAGGGATAGTGTATAATTTTTTTTCTGTATTCTAGCCCGTGAAAATGATGTACAAATTTTAGTGTAATAATGAGTGCATTCACCTCTATGTGTACATCATCTTAGGAAGACAACCACTGCAATGGGATTATTGTTGCCCTTCAGAGTTACACACACAGTAATTTGTTCTTGTTTTGTAAACTGAGGAGAAAATCTGATTCTGGGAGTTTGTTGTTTGATGAAAGGTAGCAGCTACCTTTAGAGAATTTCCAAAGGAGAGGCTCATTTTTCATACCTGCTATGTTTATGACCATGATCCTTTTCTTCCAAGGATATAACTTCCCAGTCAATGCAATGAGACTTCTTCATCCCTTAAGGCAACCCAGTTATGATCTTCGTCGTCTCTTCTTACTGAATCTATAAGCTGTGGTCCAACAGTCTAGAAGCTGTTTTGTTTTGTCCTTCTGGTTCTACAGCAGATTTGCCATGAATCTTTGGAGCAAATTTTTCCTTTCTGCTTCTGTTTTCACAAATGCAAAGTGGAGATGATGTTTTCATCCTTTTCCCCTCTCAGCAGGATGTAGCTGGAAAAGATCTGTGAGCTTCTTGGGAAAACATGTCACATAAATTTCGGATATTATTTTATTTTTCACTACGTTAATTCTAGTTTAAGGGAAAAAGGCAGGGGCATGAGGCAAATAAGAGGGCTTCAAGAGTATTTGGTAAAAGTCCTGATCTTTAAGGCTTTAGTAGGAATAAATACAAATACTCAGCAAGGGCACTAGTAACTCACCAGAAGAACTGTGTGCAGGGCATATACTGGAGTCACATGTTTAAGCCCAGGAATCTAGAGGGGCAAATGTGTGAACATAAGATATGAAAAAGATGTCAATCTAATAAAATAGCTAATGAAAGAAAAATAGATTTCTAAGAGCTAAGGGCAACTTAAAATATTATATCTTTATTTTAGGGAAGCCTGATTATTAATAGTCACCAAGCTCTTATCCAAGGTTTTTGTCTAAGAGCTTAGACAGAAGTAGTTGCATGTTACTCTTCTACCAAATCGGTTGGAATGAGATATTTTCAAGATCTGCTTTTCATTGAGTTTTGAGGAAGGTTACATTCTTTCTTCCATCCTATATATTTCATCCATCTTCTCCTTTTCATTTTAACTCCTATAGTTAAAGCTTGTACCTCTTCAAAATTTGTATTACTAATTCAACATTCTGCCACTCTAATCCATTTGACACTTTGTCACCAGAATAATATTCTGATAATAATCATAATCCCAATATCATGATTCTTCTGTTCAATTCTGTTAGTGATTTCTTTTTTTTTAACCAAATAAAGCATAATTTCCTTGTTTGAGTGTGTAAATCCCACTGGTTTGTTCCTAACTTACCTCTTCATCTCCCACATATTTCCAATATCATATCTAAGATCCAGCCATTCTAGTTTGCACCCCATGTTCTGATTAGGCTTGCATGTTACTCTGGACTTTGCATATGCCCTCCTTTTAGACTAGCATGTTTCTCTGATCCTTTTTAAAAAACAAAAATTTTAAGAAAACCCATTGGTGAAGTTTCAAACATGTCTCATCCCATCTCCACAATAACTTCCCTGGCCCACCCATATGAAAATAAGCCCTCCCATACAACATTTATGTACAACATTTATATATTCCTTTCCATACAATTACTTAAATTATAATTTATTCATTTATTAAATTTTCTCATAATTTAGTCATTCATAAAACATTTACTGAGCTTATGTTACATGCCAAACTCTAATTGGGAGTTGGGATATAGAGATATAAGATGCAATAATTGCTCTTCCTGGGAAACTCACAGACCATTGATAACATAAATATGTAAGCAGTTAAAGTGTACTGTGAAAATTACGGCCAAAAAAAGTGATATATCAAGTGCAATGTAAGCAGAGTGGAAGGAATGCTGAAGACTATTTAAGGAAATAGCAATTGAATCTAATGAAAACAATAATATTAAAATAATATTATTAATAAAGTCAAATTCCATAGTATGCTTGTAGGAGACCAGAATATGCCACCCCAAAATCTGAAGGATTGTTGAGCCAAAGGCAATTAAGAATAAGCTGATACAGAAAAGCTCTCTGCCCTCCTTTCATTTGCCTAAAAACAGGACATAGAATTATAAAGACAAAATATATCCTGTCTTTCACCCCTCTTCTACCAGGGAAAAATTCCAAGTAACAGTCCATGGAAGTTGAATAAAAGATTATTATTTGTCCCCTATAGAATTTAGTGCATTAAAATTATCTCAACTGCAATTATTATCCCCACTTACAGATGTGGGTTCTGGGGCTGAGAGAAAAGTTGTTATTTGGCCATGGTCACATAGCTGGTAATTAGCATAGCTGGGATAACACCCAGCTCTGCTGGACAGAAAAGTGTCAGAGCATCAGAATAGAAAGGGGTAAGGGAGTGTTAAGTGGAGAGAGAGCTTCTTTCCTTTATTAAAGAGCAAATTATTTTATTTTGGAGACCAAGTCTTATATAAAGTTGGTTCTCACATATTGCTTATAGAGTAGTGCCTTAAACAATAATTCTAAAAAGATTCTATTTATTATTGTCTTAAAGTAAATATTGTAGGATGAAAGAAAGTCTAGACTATCCCAGGTTAAAATAATTGGAATTTTAGGCAACTTAGTAAGTTTCTTTTTCCCATGCAGGTTGGAACAAAGTGGAGCTAGAGATAAATGGCAAGAGATGTCAAATTATTACCTTTATTAATCATAAAGGCTGGAAGTCAGTTGACCAAATGGCCTAAAAGAAACTTGACTATCTTGGCATAGGCAGCTCTAGAGAAGAGCAGGCCTCACCTGCAGGGGCACAGCATTTACCTCTAGCCTGCTTTGCCTGAGCACATACTGGCTCCTGATATAAGGGAGGGAAATACCAGCAATTCCTGCTCCCAAACTCACCAATCAGTTAGATCCTTCTCCTCCCAAGGGAATGAGGAAGTGAAGCAGAAAAAGACAAAGAGTGTTGTTCAAATGGGATGCCTCTGCATGGAAACACATGCAAAAGGCAAGAGATTTTACCCCAGTGAACAAAGCTTGCTTTAGTTATGATTTTTCTCATGCAGTGCTACACACATGCAATAAAAGTATGGTAAAAGTAGACTAAACTAGGAGTTTAAAAACTTGGCTTCTACAGAAAGTCAAATACCACATGTTCTCACTTATAAGTAGGAGCTAAATGATGAGAACACATGGACACATAGAGGGGAACAACCCTCACTGGGGCCTATGGGAGGATGGAGTGTGGGAGGAGGGAAAGGATCAGGAAAAATAACTAATGGGTACTAGGCTTAATACCTGGGTGATGAAATAATCTATACAACAAACTCCCATGTTATAAGTTTGCCTATGTAGCAAACTTGCACATGTATCCTGAACATAAAAGTGAAAAACAAAACAAAACCTTCTAACTAAAACACTACCATTAATAAGTTTTGTGGCCTTGAAAAAAAACCACCTGGGCATGTTTCCTCATCTCTATAATTAGATTATTGGGCTAAATTATTTCTTTTCAGCCCTAAAATTTGGTAGCCTATGAGACAGCTCTCTTCAACTCTACTGTTAGCTGTGTCATTAAAAGTTTTGACAGTTTCAATCATTAAATGTTGAACTTTCACTTGAAGCTGTTACTGGAATTTTGTGAGGCTTGTGGTTTGGATTCAAGGAGGAAGTGGAGCTTAGGAAACTGCAACAAAGCCACTAAACTCTAAAGCTACTCAGGATCTTTGTCTTCTAAGAAATCACCAAGAGATTAATTTTGAGCAGCATAGAATTCCTCATATGTGTACATTTTGCTCTATTCGGTTTTGTTCCACTGTTCAAAAAACTTTTTTAACATGGCTCTTATACTCAAGTTATACTTTATCACAAGAGGTAAAGTATAAAATCTTGGACATAGTTGGATTACAGATTTAAACCCAAAAGGTAGAACCAAAAATATCCTATACTTTCTGATGCATAAGGAATGGAATGGCATAACTATTCATCATGGGATTTTATGAGTCTGTATCTTATTAGTGAACATATATTGGAATTATTCTGGAAGAGAAAACTCCTTGTAGAGTAATATTACAAGTAAACAATGTTTTACATATTATTAAAATAGCTAAGTGATTAATTAGTTGATTATAATACACACATAAAATGCTATTAGTTAATTTGCTACAGTCCGAGATTTTTCAGTGTGTTTTTAGCCCTGTTTTCCAATTCCCTATCTTTCCCAATATAATGTAAGCCTCTGAAATAACGGAAATTGAAGGATTAAGAGAATGATCCATTACTTTGTGAGTAAAGATATATTTAAGGACTAAGAAAATGGAAAAAAACAAAGGCAGTGAGCATATTATAAAACTTGTGGAGTTTTCTAAGCATAATCAGATAAAAAGTACTTAACATTCACAAATATCTCTCTTCTCTTTCACACTGTTTTAAAAATTCCAACTTTCAATACCTCTAAGGAAACTGAATTTAATATTTAAATTTTAGGAGTGGAAGTGACCTCTCCCCCAAACGTTTTCTTTCAAAGATCATGAGACAGATTGTTAGAGAGGTTGATTAAATTGTCAAGACCATAGAGACCACGCACTGTGGAGCCAAGAGGAGCATCAGGTTTCTAATTTATTGTTCTTTTTGATATTTTGTGCTTTTATTCCTTTAATAAATTAGTAGAGGTAGGGTTTCCACCTCTCCTTCAACACGGTCCGTGTAGTGAGTTTAATTCTGGCCTCCCAATTAATCATCTCAGAAAAGCTTCCCCTCCTCCTCACCTCATTTGAAAGTCAAAACAAGAATAATCCAGGGAAAAGGACCTTCTACCTTGTTTCTCTGTACATTCTCCCCTCTCATTGTTTCCTCCAGCTTCCCTATATTGCCTGGGCTGATTGCACAATATTTTTATACCTAGGATAAGATCATTTTCCCCATTTTGCAGAACGCTAATACAAAAAACAGGTTATGCTTTATCTTCTTCCTTTCATGATTCTTTTCTTTCCTTCCTTTCCTTCCTCCTTTGTTTTCTCCTTCTTAATTAGGTCCCAGACAAGATGGATGTCTTTGTTTCTCAGTCCATTGTTCTGAAAATAAAATATACGCTAAGGCCAGAGTGCTCTTTTTAAACCACAGACCTAGTTGTAGACACTGAGCATATTGAGAAATAACCCCCTAAAGTTTTCTATTTCTCATTAAGTTTTAAAAGCCTTACTGACTACGTGTGCTCATTACATTGAGTTGTAAATAATGTTTGAAGAGAATGATTCCAGCCCACTCAGTGCACAAAGAGAATACAAAGAAGCATTTTGCAATTGCTTTTCCAAGGTGATACATTCTATAATATTGAGCAGAGTTACTGCTATGAAAGGCTGAAATCCCAGAAGTCTCAAATCACTGAAAAACAAACATGAAATGAAAATATATAATTTGTTCCATGTTGACTCTCTTGCCTCCCACCAACTTATTAAATATAGGTAAAAGCTTTCTTCTCTAAGATAAAGTACTGCATGAGGAACTCTGACTTCTTATCCCCTCTTCTAAATTACTTTTCTTTGTTTCTGGCTTGTTTTAACTCTTTGCTATTACTGAAAGCCTTGTCTGTAGTTAATACTGGCAATTAAGTAAAGAGGACAGATGTCAACAATGGGGGACCTTTTACTTTGCTTCTCTATACCTTCTTTCCTTTCAACCTTCTCTTCAGCTTTCCTGGTATTGCCTGGGCTGACTGTTCAGTATTTTTATACCTGGGATAAGATCATTTTCCCCATTTAGATAAATGCACAAATAAAAACCATATTATGCTTCTCCCAGGCAAACTGAGCTCACTTTATGCTGCCATTTGTAATGAATACTATTACAGATTTTGTTTTCGAGAATATTGCAGTGGTGTTTGCGTGACTGAAAGGTTGACTGCCTTGACAGTCGTAATTGTAGTTGTCTATTTTTATAGTCTTCTAAACAGGGAATCTATCATATCAAAGGGCTTAATCTATCACCAAGGACTCTGTTGAAAGTGTTCCTCAAAGTTGGAAACTATCTTCTGAAAACCTACTACCAAAAAGAGAAATGCATTTTTGTTGAGGCAAAGAAACCCAACAACAACAAAAAACAGATACAAGCATCATTAAGCAGTCTGTGTGCTTAACTTGATGCAGTGAGATGAGCAGCATAAATACCATCCTGAACAGCTTAACCCCCCCAGCATTAGGGAAGTGTTAGTCTATTTAGTTTCACTATAAAGGAATACCTTAGGCTGGGTAATTTATAAAGAAAAAAGATTTATTTAACTCACAATTCTGCTGGCTGGAAGACTGGGCATCTGATGAAAGCCTCGGGCTGCTTCCACTCATGGTGGAAGATGAAGGGGAGCCAGTGTGTGCAGAGCTCACGTGGTGAGAGAAGAAGCAAAAAAGAGATGGGGGAGTTGCCAGACTCTTTTTAACAACCAGCTCTCATGGGAATTAATAGAGCGAGAACTCACTTACTACCATGAGGACAGCACCAAGCCACTCATGAGGGATCCACCCCCATGGCCCAAACACCTCCCAACCCAAAAAATTATGCTGTATTCTCCTGTGCCCAGAGAGTTGTGATCTTTATTCTGCTTCCTCCTTTTTTTCAGAGCTGCAGCTAGACGTGGAGGCAAGAAGAAGGAGCCATATACTACTACCCCTTACATTACCTCTTCTCTTCTGGAGTTAAGTTGCCGGACATGGTCAGAGTTCTCATGTTAAAACTTGCAAATTTGACCCCTTGCCTTTGGATGTTCCTTTGCACTACTACAATAATATTAGATTGTTGCCCATGGTTTCTAGATAAACTCCTAAACAAAGTAATAGTGGAAAGTAGGCAGTATAGCACATCGAAATCAGATTGCCTGCCTTAGAACTCCTGCTTTGGCAGCTACTACTAGTTGTGTGTATTTGGAGAAAAATGTATCTCACATGGTTGTTGTGAAAATTAAATGAGATAATACATGAAAAGGACTGATAAAGATATTTGAAACAGTATCCAGTTAGAGGACATCATGGAAGAGGAAAACTCATTTATGACAAAGAAGATTAAACACCTAGAAATAAATTCAAGAAATGTACAAAGCATACATGAATAAAACTTTATACTTCTCTGGACACAAGGAGGGGAACATCACGAACCGGAGCCTGTTAGGGCGTGAGGGGCTAGGCGAGGGAGAGCATTAGGAGAAATACCTAATGTAGGTGATGGGTTGATGGGTGCAGCAAACCACCATGGCATGTGTATACCTCTGTAACAAAACTGCACGTTCTGCACATGTACCCCAGAACTTAAAGTATTAAAAAAAAAAAGCTTTATTCTTCTCTTGAAAGACACAAAGATTTGAACAAATGGAAAGATACTCTGATTTTTGGATGTGATGACTCAATGTCCTAAAGTGAATTATTCTAAGTTAATTTATAAATTGTGCAAAATCCAATACAAATACCAAAAAACTTTATTTTGGAATTAGATAAGTTTATGCAAAAATCCCATAAAGAAAAGCAAACATTCAAAAATAGCCAGGAAAAATGTAAAAATAAATAAAAACTGCAAGGGAGGAATTAGCATTGTCAGACGTTAAAATATACCATAAGTCTATAATTCAAATAGTATTGTATTATCCCATGAACAGACAGATACACCAGTAGGAAAGTAATAGGAAAGCCCAGAAATATACTCAAGTACATATACAAATTTAGTATATGATAAAGTAGCATCTCAAATCACAGAGACAAAAGTGAACTTTTAAATAAACAATGCTGTAACTAGTGGGTAGCCATTTGGAAAAAAATAAATATGGTTAGACCCATACTTCAAACCATTGAAAGACTAAATTCCAAATTAGGGATTTAAATGTTAAAAAATTAAGCCATACAAATATTGGAAGAAAACATGGGTGAATTCATATTTAACCTTGGAGTAGGAAAAGACTTTTAAACTCTGACTCAAAACTCAGATGCAATAAAAGAAAGGTTGATAAATTTGACTTCATAAAATTAAAAATTTGTGGCATGACAGAAAAAATATCATAAATAAAGCTGAAAGAGACAAATTGGGAGAAAATATTTACAACATGTACCACAGACAAAGAGGTAATACCCCTGATACATTAAGAAAAAAACTACTTTTTAAATTGAGCAAAGGACTAAAATGTAATAGAAAAAGGAGGAAAAACAGATAATTCACAAATATATATTTTATGTAAATAGTCATTAAACAGATTAAAGATATTCACACTTATAAAGTAGTACATATTAAAACAACACTGAAGTACCTCTTATCACCTGTAAGAATACCAAAAATTGAAAAGCATAACATGTTTATTAGCAAGGCATTGAGAAAATAGGCATTTTTTCATGTATCACTTGTGAGAACACAAACTTGTACCAGTCTTCTGGAGAGAAATCTGGTAATAACAAAGCTATATATGCACTTATCTTTTGACCTAACAATCTCATTTTAAGAATCCACTTCAAGGAATATAAAAAATGTATATGCGCAAGGTTATTCATTGCAGGATTGTTTGTAGTTGCAAAGTGCTATAGACAACTTAAATGCCCAAACCTTGGAGAGTGGCTAAATAAGGTATCATACATTCAGAAAATTGAGTAGGATACAGCTACAGAAAAGAATTAGGACTATTTCTATGAACTGACATGTAGTTATTCCTAGGATTTTATTCAGTAAAAAAAAAAAAAAAAATGTAAGGTGCAAAAGTATTTGTAGTATGCATCCTTTTCTGTAAGAAAAATAAAACCAGGGGTCCATATGAAAATATACATGTATTTCCTTATTTGTGCAAAAAGAAAATACAGGATGAATAAACCAGAAGCTAACAGATTGGTTAAATAGAGGACATAGGTGGGAATATGGTAAAAAGAAAGAGTAAGGAGTATACGGTTCAGGGGATGAGAAGGATTGATACATCTCTACGTACAACTTTCCAAAAAACTGACTTTTTGAACCATGTTAATGTTTCTACATGCTCAAAAATAAAACAAAATTCACCATGATGAGGGTGGAATCCAAAATAAAATAGAAACATAACAAATGAATCCAACTCTATTACAAATGAATAAAATAACCACAGTAAAGGCAGTTGGGAACAAAAAAAAACTAATCCAAGTAACTTTGGAAAACAGTATTTTGACTCTACGTGGTAAAACAGAAGCTCTTTATACAAATACTGTACTCTACTTAGTAAATTTGTTTTTCACACAAGTATGGATTAGCAAATTTGAAATTATTTGTATTCTAGAATTGAGAAAATGAATATATTCTAGATAATGAGAAACAAGTTTTTTTTCTCCCTTGAAGAAAGGAATTTCCACCAGGGAAATGGAAAAGGCTAGACTGAACCCTGTAGTGTCAGATTAGAATCACGACTCATGGGTTTTAATATTTACACAGACAGATGAAGAAGTATGTGTTGAATACATATATATATTTTTAGTGCTTTCCTCTGAAATGGCCTAGAAGCAATAACACAGCATTGGCAATGAACACACCTAGCTTCCAGATCTTGGTATCAAACATCATTCTCTAACAAAACAAACCAAGACCCCCTTGGAGAAATGGTTGGTTTTAAGACTGGGGCAGGGAAAATAAAGACAAATTTGGAACATTTTGTAGTGCTGAAAAATAAGGTAGCATTCAAAAAATAACATGAGCTGGTTGAAAACACACAGAAGATAAATTGAAGGAGATCCCAAGACAAAATCTGGAACTATTTGAGCAAAAACTCATTATAGTGATGTATTATAACTCATATGATGAAAAATGTCTATTAGTCTATACTGAAATGGATGAATGAAGAAGGGAAAGCTCTTTCTTATGGTAGAATTTGAATTAATAAATGAGGAAGGATTGATGGAAATAAAATGTCACTATTTGGAAAAGTCCAGAGGAGAAACCTAGTAGACATGATCCAAATGATCTGAGAAATGCATTTGGCAATTTTGTCTTTGTGGGAACATCAGAGTGTACTTATACAACCTGCATGGTATAGACTATTGTTCCTAGGCTAAAAAGCTTCACATTAAGTTACTGTACTGAATACTGTAGGCAATTATAATATAATGGTAAGCATTTATGTATCTAAAGATAGAAAAGGTACAGTAAAACTATGGTGTTATAAACTTATGAAACCACTGTGCTATATGTGGTCTATTGTTGTCCAAAAACATTGTTACGCATTACATGACTATATATCAAAATTGTGTGTCTTCAAATTTACTAAGAAGAGGACGGCATTACTACTGCAATATTCTTCCTAAAAATGTGTAACATTAATTCATCATGAATAAATATCAAACAAACCCAGATTGAGAAAAATTTTACAAATAACTGGCCAGTATTCTTTAAAAGTATCAAGGCATGAAAGACAAAGGAAGACTCAGGGACGGAGGGACAGTCACAAACTGGAAGACTAAAGAGAAATGACTAATAAATGCCATGTGCGATTCTTGATTGGCTCCTAGACCAGAAGCATGACATGAATGAGACAATTACGGAAATTTTCATAAGGTAGGTACTAATTAATAGTAATATATTATTAATTTCCTGATTTTTATACTTGTAGTATGGCTATGTAACTTAACATTTGGAGAAACTGAAAGAAGAGTATAAGGGAGCTTCTTATAGTATTTTTGCAACTTTTTTGTAAATCTGTATTTAAAATTAAAAATTTAAAAATAAGTTTAAAAATTCTAAAAGTTACCTGAAAGAGAATGAGGGCTCAAAGATTATTAGCAGTTATTACTTATTATTTTGAGTTCTGCAGGCTTATTCATCAAAGCCAAAGTTTCAAGTCTAAGGGCTCACAATTACATTTTTTAAATTAAGTTCCCCTGGAAGGAAATTCTGTGAATCATCTCTGAACTTTCTGCATCAAAATCACCTTGCATGTATTTCCCAAGTGCAGATTTCACGGTCGTTTCAAACTACCTGAATTAGGATGGTGAGTCTCTGCATACTAAGAATTCTGTGATGTTGTATGCACGAAAGAAAAAACTTTATTTGCCCTTACCTTAAGTAACAGCTAGTTGGTTATAAAAATCTAAATAATATTTTTCCCTCAATACTATTCAGTGTTGCTATACAGGAGTCTAACATCAATTCAATTTTCGCTTTTTAGATGATCTTTTTTTCTCTCTAGAAGCTTACAAGACTTTCTCTCTTGATGTTCTTAAATTTCACTGGAGTTTTCTGTGGTATAGGGTTTTCAGGATCTATTCTGTCCACTCTGTCTTTTTATCTGAGAGTTTTTATCATTCTTTAAATCTGGGTAAAATTTTTTCCTTCTTTTGAGGGCTTTATTATATTTTTATTTTACTTTATTTTATTTTATTATTTATTTATTTAGAGACGGAGTTTCACTCTTTTTGCCCAGGCTGGGGTGTAATGGCATGATCTCGGCTCACCACAACCTCCGCCTCCCGGGTTCAAGTGATTCTCCTGCCTCAGCCTCCTGAGTAGCTGGGATTACAGGCTGCCTGGCTAATTTTGTATTTTTAGTAGAGATGGGGTTTCTCCATGTTGGTCAGGCTGGTCTCGAACTCCCGACCTGATCCGCCCACCTTGGCCTCCCAAAGTGCTGGGATTACAGGCGTGAGCCACTGCGCCCGGCTGAGGCCTTTATTATATAGGTGTTAAAATGTTCACTTTCTTCCCCTTTATCTTTTTATTGTTCTTCCTTTTATTTTTTCTTTTCCTGGGGCCTTTAAAGAGCTCTTTCACCATTATATTCTAGTTCACTAATTTGTTTTTCAGCTTTCTATATCCTACTATTCAATTCATCCACTGTATAATTTCAACAATTATATATTTTATACCTAATATCTTCTATTGGGTTCCAAAATTCTTATGTCTCTGAGGAAATCTATTATGCTTATACAAAGTATTAAATTCTTTTTATACCATTAGCTCTTCTAACTCTGGTATAAATGTCTCTATTTGTTATCTTTCTTTCATTGTACTTTAAGTTCTCAGAGGTCATGTTAATTCTTCTCTGTGAATTCATCTTTTGTTTCCTTGAAATTATCAACTGCTCTGCTTAATTAATATTGAAACTCTCAACACCCCTTGTATCCCCTCCCCTTTCTTTCCTTCTCTTTTCTTGAGACTCTGATAAATAATTTAGACACATTATAGCAATCAGTACAGAAAACCTTACTCCAATGAAAGGTTAGTGCCGCATGCATGCAACCAGAACTAGGTGGACACCTTTTTACTTTCCATTGCCACATTGAACTTTGTCTGAGACCTGTGCTTTTAGAAAAAATTTCCACACTTTAATGGGTTTCAGGAATGGTTAACCACCAAGGACCACCTGAAATCTCATATTGCAAGATAAAATCCATCTCCATCTTTCCTCAGTGACTTAGATAACACATGTCTCCATCATTATGATGACTCCTAAAAGATTATCTGATGACTCCTTTGTCTAATTTTGGGGCCCAAGTCCTCTTCCTTTTAAGATGTTTCTCATTAATGAATATTTACATTCTCCTGATTATAAAGGCCTAAATAAAATTATCTCCTTAACTGCTTGATGCATTTTTTTTTGTCTTTTATATCACTTATAACACTGCTTTAGCGTGTATATTTTTCAGCATGTAATCTGTGTCTACATGGAGTTCTCTGGGTGGGATAGATTGGTTTCAGAGAGCAGCTATATATGCAAATACCTCACATTTTTAATTCTTTGACATCTTTTACTCTCCAACAGTTTGTCTTTAGCTTGTTAATAATGAGAAGTATTTTAAATGTTGAATTTCTAGTATTTCTTTGCTGGTTAGAAATGAATTTAATTTAATTTCTGATAATAGAAATTCTCTAATATGTAGGTTGTATGCTGCACAAAATTTAAACTTTCAGTGTGTGATTTCCTCTAAACCAAAATGAAAATGTTTTCTTGTAGCCATCTATTTTTTAAGAAAAAAAATCGCCGGGCACAGTGGCTCAATCCTGTAATCCCAACACTTTGGGAGGCCGAGACGGGTGGCTTACGAGGTCAGGAGTTTGAGACCAGCCTGGTCAATATGGTGAAAACCCGTTTCTACTAAAAATACAAAAATTAGCAGGGCATGGTGGCACGTGCCTGTAGTCCCAGCTATTAGGGAGGCTGAGGCAGGAGAATCGCTTGAATCTGGGAGGTGGAGGTTGCAGTGAGCCAAGATAGTGCCACTGCACTCCAGCCTGGGCAACAGAGCAAGACTGTCTCAAAAAAAAATTTATATTGATTTTCATCATCTCCTTGACTTTTCAAATTTTTTACTTCGGTAAAAGGAGGAAGTGGTGTCACAATTTTATGTTAAAAGACCCTACCATTTTCCTAATATCAATGGAAATACAAGTCGCTCTTTTTTGAAGAAACACAGCTTGGTAAAAGTGGCCATATAAAATCATGTGAACAGCTTAATCAGTGCGAGCTTGTGTCTGACTAGAATGTGCTTGTAGTGTCAGGCTCTCTTTTTAGTCTGAGTGTTGTTCCCTGTCATCGCCCTCTACATAGTCTCTGCCCTTCTAGTCTTATCTCTCATAAAAGGCTTAGGAAATGTTGGGGGAGTTGCTGATCAGCCAGCAGAACTGTCAAAGCATCAGTCATTCTGGCCTTCCTTCCAAGAAACAAAACAAATTACTCTCCCAGCCAGGCTCCTCAGTGCCCTCTGGGCTCAGGTCTAAAACTGTTTGAACTCTCCCATATGGCTCTCAACATGTGATTGTGTCATTCCATCAGGAAGCCACTCAAAGGACATTTTCTCAGCTTGATTTATATTTTCCTTTTATCTCGAATATGCTTCCAGGAACACAACATCTTTGTCCTGCTTTGTCTTCTCTACTTGCCCAGTTTTATTTTTTTCCTTTATTTTTGGTAGTCCACTTATTTACTAGATTGAAGGCCAGAAAACATGCCAAACATTTTTGTCTGTTCTAGATTTAATATTGCCATATCAAGCATTCTCTTTTTTGTTTGCATTTGTGTGATCTCTGTGTGTGTGTGTGTGTGTGTGTGTGTGTGTGTGTGTGTGTGTGTGTAGCAAACAAATTTCAGAAGATTTAGACTGTCCACTAAATCACCAAGCCTTTGGACAACGAAAGAGAGGGAAATTTTTTTTTTTTGCAAATAGCTTTCAGAAAGAGGCCATTTATGAATATATTATATTCCAGTAGGTCAGGTACAGCCTTCTAAAATGAAGCCAAGTCAATATTTGAGAACATAAGGGAGCAATGGCTTGTGAAACTAGTGGTATGATTTGTTGTTATCTATTTCATTAGTGTGAGTGGTACAATTTAACTTAAACAAAATACAGAATACTGTAAAACCATTGCTGCTGTCAAAGAATTTCAATCTAGCTATGCTGACAAATAAATACAACTTGAAGACAGATCTTATACATAAAGTGTAGACCTTAGAATTTCACCCTTAAAAAAGCTTAGGGATAAATTTCAGAACTCTAGGGGAATGAGGCAACTTCTCTAATCCACAATAAAGATAAAAAAGAAAAGTTTTTGGGAGAAGCAAAATGAAAAAGATTTTCTCAGAGAAGAAAATGGATTTGGGCTCATTTTGTGTTTCTGATTTTCTATTTCTTGCTAATTGTTTTTCCCTACCGTGTTAACATTTATCTGACTCAGCTTAAGAGTGACAGTAACTCTTTCACTTGGTATTTGGATTTCCTAAGAAAGACCCTTGATGAATTGTGAAAGATAATTTATTTTCTGAAGAGGGAAGGTTCTCTTGCTCCTTGCCAGTTATTGAGTAATTCCGACTCAGAATGTCTCCAACTTCTCTCAAGCAATCAGACAAAATATAGTTTATGATAATTTACTGTTTAGTTGCCCACAGGCTCATAGATCCCGTGGGTCTGCTTCACCTTTATAAGTGATGCTGAAATCCAGAATGCATCATAGTCAGTTGGTCTAGGGGAGAATATGAGGAAAGATTCATTGAAAAATATAACATAGTGGGTGTTTGAGATGTAATGCTATTTCATACGTACATGGACACACACATACATATATATACTTATATACATAGACACCCACATATATGATATATACATTTGATATATATACATACAACATATATATACACACATACATACATAATTATAATCAACTACTATAGCCCCTGATTCACTTGGACATTTTCAATTAAAACATAGGTAAACATCATTTTATGTTTTCTCATACATCCTAAAGGTCTTAAAAGGCACAGAAGTGATGAACATGAGTTAGTCAATTAAGATCTTGACTAATTATGTAAATTGTCATTAATTTCTCTTCAAATTCTTAAGTAAAGTCACTTATTTTACTTGCTATATGTTTCTTAGTCCTAACCAGACTCACTTAGCTGCTAGTAAAATTTAAAACACATCTTAAAGACTAAGAGTGCCTACATCAACTTTAGATTGATTTACTCATTCACTTACGGATGTCAGAATATTGATTACACTTCTACCATGTACTAGATCCTCAAGAAATAGAAGTGGAAAAGGTAGATGAGGTTTCTACTTTCACAAATATTATACTGCAATCTGAAATAATCAGATAAATACTGGGTAAACTAGCAGTAGTATCTTTTGGGTTTTCCACTGGAAAGTAGTGTTTAAAAAGTATTTATTTTTAAAAGTTAATATAAACCTACTATGTGCTAGGCACAAGAGATAAAAGTACCTATAAGCCAGGGAGTATTCTGTCTCTTACATTGCTTGGTGTGTTTAATTACTATGGAGTTGCCTCTCAGTTGTAGCTTTGATCAGAAGATTGGCACATATGACAAAAAATCAAAGAAAGTAACATTACCTTAAAAATTCATCCGTAAGGGACCACATTAGCAATCACCATACCATTGTTCTATAAATCTATCAGAGACAGTCCCACAGCCCCTCAGCCCTGGCATTGCAACAGATCACAGTTTGGACTTAAAACCAGATGAAGTAATTTGTTGGCTCTGTTGTAAACCTTCCCTCCCCCAAAGTATACCTTTAAAAGTTAGTATCCTACTTAGCTTAGGTGAGGGCTTTCTATGTGATGAGAGGTCTGTAGGAACTGAGACTCTATGTGGTAAAAATTGAATCACATTTGCCATCTCATCCATTCCAGGGCATTATGAAGAATGGTGATTAGCAACACCTAACCTATTTAACTTCTCAATCTCTTTCTCTCCACTCTATGCTCCTCAAAAATATATAGATGATTTTGGCAGAAGTTAAATGAGACTGAAGCAATTCTACTATCTCAGCTATATAGAGTACAATTATTAGTTAACAAATAATTTTGAATACTACTAAATAATTTTTGCAAGTAAATATTGCCACAGTGTTCACCATGCTTCTCCCTAACCACCACAGAATTTAGTGAACATAGTTAAATCTTTTCTTAGTGTCTCAATATAAATTATAGGTCAGTAATTGTTCTTGGCTATAATATAGTGATTCTCTAAGTACAAAAAACAAAAACAGATTCAGCAAAATGATTTTATACAAGTCTCTTTACCCTGCCTAATTATTAATATTTATTTTTCAATTATCTCAATTTACCTACCAGCTGGCCTGTAGCATTTTTCTCCCTCCTTTTTGATCTTCTGGGAAACCAGAGAGTCAAATTTGATAATATTTGTGTAAAACAAGATTAAATAGACTTTAAGTGAGGGCCTGAAGTATTTTTTGAGAATGAAATATATGTGCATTAACATATAAACCTGTTAAGTTCCGATTTAGCTGCTCTAAATATGTCTACCACCACACTTTTGGGTTAGACTGCTGCATTACCAACATGAAACTATAACTGGTTGATTCATTTCAAACATTTAAATTGGTTGTGAGTAGAGATGGCCCATAGTAAATAAAATTATCTACAGCATAAATAACCCACTTTCTCAGGAGATGTTCACAGGCTTATCTGCATCTGTGAACATTTATTTAGAGAATAGTGTAGTTGGAAATCTACCCTAGGAATGACCTAACCCTCTCTTGGCTTTTACTCAATCTGGTTTCCATACCACTTGTAGATCTATAGCTGCATTAACTGAAACCAATTAAAGCCATTGGCTTCAAAAGAGGGGAATATTTATTATTTATTTAAGAATATGTTTATTAAGTCACAAGTATTGTGTACTGTTACAGTTTGAATGTTTGTCCCCTGCAAAACTCATATTGAAATTGGGTTGCTGTTGTGGCAGTGTTAGGAGCTGAGACCATTAAGAGATGATAGGACCATAAGGGCTTCATCTTCACTGGTGGGATTAAGGCCATTAAAAAGGATGAGTTTGGCCCCCTTTTATATCTTGGCTTTTCTGCCCTGTGAGGATCCAGCCTTCCTCCCCTTCAGAGGACACACCATGGATGTGGAAGAATCAAACATAGGGTTGAAGGTGGGGAATGGCATCACCAGACACCAAACCTGCTGATGCTCTGACGATAGACTTCAGCCTCCAAAATTATGAGTCAATAAATTTGTTTACTATATATTATCCAGTCTCAGATTTCTGTTTTAGAAGCACAAAGACATATACTGTTTTAGATTTTAAATATATAAAGATGCTAAGATAAGTCCATACCTTCAGGGGATCAACACGTGGCAGAAAAGCCAAGGCAGATGTCTTTTTAAAATGACATTATAAGTCTGCACTTGGAGGTACCCCTTCTGTTCTAAACACAACAATATCAGAGAAAACACCAAAAAATGAGAATAATGTCTCTGTGATCCAGAAATTGGACAGAAATACACAGCCATGATCAGGGCTGGAGTTATTGTTTTGATGGACTTCAGGTGCTGAAGCAGGTAGAGATCACTGGGAGTTTGGCCCTTATAGAGTCAGAGATTAAACATGTTCCACACGATGAGGTACTAGACCTTTCTCACTAATGGGATGAGTTACCCTGCTCACAAAAGGAGTATGAACAAATATGCTGCAGACAATCTCCCAAGTCTACAGCTTGGTTAACATTCCAACTTAGAAAGGTGACAGAATACAGACACAGTCTGTTGATCAGGAAGCAAACTAAATTGCCTGCAGATAGGGGGACAGGATTTCTGACATCTAATGTATAACTCAGGAAGAAGTCCCATCTCTCAATATAAGACTGAGTAAAGATTAGTGTCCTCAAGGGCCTGAGTGGAGTCGATCACAGGTTTGAAGAGTAAGGGGAAAATAAAAATAAAAATAAAAAAACCCCAGAACTTCCAATTCAAATGAGTCTGCAATCCAAAATTCCAAAGAAAAATACTCTTGTGCTAATTGAGCGATATCCTGTATTTAACAGTGTTGAAGAGTAAGGAAAAAAAAAAGAACTTCCCATTTAACATTTAATGAGTCTTCAATCCAAAATTCCAAAGAAAAACACTCTTGTGCAAATCCTTGATTTGATTTTGATGGCATTAAAATAACACAGGACATTGCTCAATTAGCACAATCTAAGAGGAAACTAGTGAATTGGGTGAGGATTTCACCAGAATTCTTATCCAATTCACCAATTTGCTAGTGAGATAAAGAGATAAGAGGGGAAGACATATGGAAGATAGACTGAGACACCTCTGAAATTTCAGAGGAAAACAGAGAAAATAGTGGAGATGCTGCATTTGCACACACAAGAGCAGAATATTCTCCAGAACTGAAGAAAGCTACGAGTCCTTAAATTGAAAATATACTTCAAAGTACCAAGCAGAATACCATTAAATCCACACCAAGACCCATAATAGTGAAGCTATAGACTATCAAGAATAAAGAAAATACTGCTTGAAAGAGAGAAAAAAACATAACTCAAATAAATTCTAGCTAACTCTTTATTAGCAAAAATAGATGCCAGGACGTAATGGAACAATAGCTTCAAAATGCTGAGGAAAAATAACTGTCAGCATAGAATTTTATATCAACCCAATGACTATTCACGAGTTTGAAAAAATGAGGATTTTTTTTTCCAAGACAAAGAGAGTTTACACCCACAGAACTTCATAGCAAAGCATTTATTCAGTGAGAACAACAAAAACAAAAAGAGTTAGATGCAAGAAACAAGAGGAAGAGAAAGTAGGCTAGAACTACACCGCAGCAATTTTTAAAAAACTGAACACTGTACAATATCTTTATTTTTGTATAATTAACATAGTATCAAATGTGTCTTTAGACAGCCCTGTCCTTAATGTTTTTTTTTCTTTTTTTGTGTCTTTTCACTTTCTTTTATTGATACATAATGATTGTACAAACGTCTGAGGTATATATGATATTTTGATACGTGCATATAACATGTAAAGTCAAATTAGGGTAACTGGAATATCTATCACCTCAAACATTTATTACTTAGTGTGGGTAATATTCCAAATCTTCTCTTTTATATAGCTATTTTGAAATATACAACAAATTGTTAGCTATAGTCATCCTACTATGCTATCAAACACTAGAACTGATTTATTCTGTCTAACCGTATTTTTGTACCCATTAACCAAGTTCTCTTCATCTCCTACCCCACTCCTACAGTTCCCAACCTCTGGTAACTACCATTCTACTCTCTACCTACATGAGACTGTTTTCTAGCTCCCACATGAGTGAGAACGTGGTATTTGTGTGGTATTTATCTTTCTGTGCCTGGCTTATTTCACTTAATATAATGTCCTCCAATTCTATCCATATTGCTGCAAATGACAGGATTTTGTCATTTTGTATGACTGAATAATATTCCACTGTGTATATGTACCATATTTTCTTTATCCTTTTATCTGTTGACAGACACTTAGACTGACTCTGTGGCTTGGCTATTGTGACTAGTGGTGCAATAAGCATGGAAAAGCAGATATCTTTTCAATGTGCTGCTTTTCTTTCTTTTGGATCTAAAATCAGAAGTAGGATTGTTGAATCATATGGTAGTTCCATTTTTAGTTTTTTGAGGAGCCTCCATATTGATTTTCATAATGGCTATCCTAATTTATGTTCCCGTAACAATGTATTAACAGTCCCCCTTTCTCCATATCCTTGCCAATACTTACCTTTTGTCTTTTTGAGACAGTCATTCTAGCTGGGGTGAGATATCTCATTGTGATTTTGATTTGCATTTCTCCAATTATTTGTAATGTTGAGTATTTCTTTATATGCCTGTTGGCCATTTATATGTCTTCTTTTAGGAAATGTCTATTCAGGGCCAGGCTAGGTGGCTCATGCCTGTAATCCCAGCACTTTGGGAGGTCAAGGCAGGTGGATCACTTGAGGTCAGGAGTTCAAGACCAGCCTGGCCAACATGGTGAAATCCCATCTGTACTAAAAATACAAAATTAGCCAGGCATGGTGGTGGGTGCTTGTAATTCCAGCTACTCAGGAGGCTGAGGCAGGAGGATCACTTGAACCTGGGAGGTGGAGGTTGCAGTGGACAGAGATGGCACCACTACACTCCAGTGTGGGCAACAGAGGGAGAGTCTATCTCAAAAAAATAAAATAAAATAAAAATAAATAAATAGAAATGTCTGTTTGGGTAACTTGTCCATTTTTAAATCAGATTTATAGATGACATCATCTTATAGTTAGAAAAACCTAAAGATTGGACCAAAAAACTGTTAGCACCAATAAATGAATTCAGTGAAGTTGTAGGATACAAAGTCAACATAAAAAATCAGTAACATTTATATATGCCAACAGCAAACAATTAGACAAAAAAAATCAAGCAATTCCACTTTCAATAGCTACTAAAATAAAATACCTAGAAATAAATTTAACCACAGAAGTGAAAGATCTCTATAAGGAAAAGCATAAAATGCTTATGAAAGAAATTGAGGAGGAGACCAAAAAAAAAAAAAGAAAAGAAAACCAACAGCAACACATGCTCATAGATTGGAAGAATTTATATTGTTAAAATGTCTATACTCTCCAAAGCAATCTACAGATTCAATGAAATCCCTACCAAAATACCAATGCTATTCTTCACAGGAATAGAAAAAACAAGTCTAAAATATGTATGGAACCACAGAAGAGCCCAAAGATCTAAAGCAATCCTGAGCAAAAGGAACAAAGCTGGAGGGATCTCACTACCTGACTTCATATTATGCTACAAAGCTACAGAAACCAAAACAGCATGCCATTGGCTTAAAAGCAGACACATAAACCAATGGAACAGAATAGAGAACCCAGAAATAAATCCAGGCATTTAGGCAACACATTTTTGACAAAGGCACCAAGAATATATACTGGGGAAAGGGTAGTTTCTTTAATAATTGGTGTTGGGAAAACTGGATAATCATATATGGGAAAATCAAGCTAGACCCCTATCACTCACCATATACAAACATCAAATCAAACTGGATTAATAACTGAAATGTAAAACCTGACCACTGAAACCACTAGAAAAAAATATTGGAGAAATGTTTCAGGACATTGGTTTGGGCAAGAATTTTTTAGATAAGTCCCCAAAAACACAGGCAACAAAAGCAAAAATACACAAGTAGGATTACGTCAAGCCAAAAAGCTTCTGCACATCAAAATAAACAATCAACAAAGTCAAAAGACAACATATAGAATGGGAGAAAGTATTTGCATACTATTTGACTATTTGACAAGGGATTTATAATCAGAATATATAAGGAACTTAAACAAACTGAACAGCAAATAATCAAATATATATATATATATATATATTTAAAGGAAATTCTTTAACTGTTCAATACAGTAGCCACTAACTATATGTGGCTATTTAAGTTTAAACTGATTAAAATAAAATAAAATAAAAATGTATTTTTTTCTTTCATAGTAATCACCTTTTAAGTTCTAGTACCACCTGTGGCTAACACTTATTTTACTGGAGCATGTGCATATAGAAAACATTTCCCTCACTGCAGAAAGTTCTAGTAAAAGGCACTACTGAGAGTTTAGGCAACGCCAGAAAGCTATGTATTTTACATGCTGACAGTACCTAGGAAAGAGTATAAATAGTATAACAGATGATACATCCACTGAATTTAAGAATATCAGCTCAAGTCATTTTATAAAATCCTGTTTAAGATATAGTTTAATCAGTATGTAGTTTTATCAACTATATTTTGTGTGGCAATCAGTAGATGGAATAAACTAGTTTCAAGTGGCATATACAAATCATCTAATGTTGTGTAAATTCTTATTATTCTTAGCAAATCAGCTTCAATTATAAAAATCTTTGCAAGATGGCCAAATAGGAACAACTCCAGGCTGCAGCTCCCAGTGAGATTGATGCAGAAGACCGGTGATTTCTGCATTTCCAACTGAGGTACCTGGTTCATCTCATTGGGACTGGTTGAACAGGGGGTGCAGCCCACTGAGGGCAAGCCAAAGCAGGGTGGGGAGCGCCTCACTCGGGAAGTGTAAGGGGTTGGGGGATTTCCCTTTCCTAGCCAAGGGAAGCCATGAGAGACTGTACTAGGAGGAACAGTACACTTCTGCCCAGATATTATGCTTTTCCCATGGTCTTCACAACTGGCAGACCAGGAGATTCCCTCCGGTGCCTGGCTCAGTGGGTCCCAGGCCCACAGAGTCCAGCAAGCTACGATCCAATGGCTTGAAATTCTCGCTGCTAGCGCAGCAGTCTGAGAGCGACCTGGGACGCTGGAGCTTGGTGGTAGGAGGGGTGTCTGCCATTGCTGAGGCTTGAGTAGGTGGTTTTATGCTCACAGTGTAAACAAAGCTGCCAGGAAGTTCGAACTGGGAGGAGCGCACCACAGCTCAGCAAGGCCAACTGCCTTTCTAGATTCCTCTGTGGGCAGGGCATCTCTGAACAAAAGGCAGAAGCCCCAGTCAGGGACTTATTGATAAATCCCCCATCTCCTTGGGACAGAGCACCTGGGGGAAGCGGCAGCCATGGGCACAGCTTCAGAAGACTTAAATGTCCCTGCCTGACAGCTCTGAAGAGAAAAGTGGTTCTCCCAGCACAGCTTTTGAGCTCTGATTATGGACAGACTGCCTCCTCAAGTGGGTCCCTGACCCCTGTGTAGCCTGACTGGGAGACATCTCCCAGTAGGGGCCTATAGACACCTCATACAGGAGAGCTCTGGCTGGCATCTAGCAGGTGCCCCTCTGGGATGAAGCTTCCAGAGGAAAGATCAGGCAGCAATATTTGCTGTTCTGCAGCCTCCACTGGTGGTACCCAGGCAAACATGGTCTGGAGTGGACCTCCAGCAAACTCCAACAGACCTGCAGCTGAGGGACCAGACTGTTAGAAGAAAAACTAACAAACGGAAAAGAATAGCATCAACATCGACAAAAAGGAGGTCCACTCCAAAACCCCATCTGCAGGTCACCAACATAAAAGACCAAAGGTAGATAAAACCACAGAGATGGGGAGAAACAAGCGCAGAAAGGCTGAAAATTTAAAAAATCATAACACCTCTTCTCCTTCTCCAAAGGATCACAACTCCTTGCAAGCAATGGAACAAAACTGGATGGAGAATGAGTTTGATGAATTCACAGAAGTAGGCTTCAGAAGTTGGGTAATAACAAAGTCCTCTGAGCTAAAGGAGCATGTTCTAACACAATGCAAGACAGCTAAGAATCTTGAAAAAAGGTTAGACAAATTGCTAACTAGAATAACCAGTGTAGACAAGAACATAAATGACCTGATGGATCTGAAAAGTGCAGCATGAGAACTTCATGAAGCATACACAAGCTTCAATAGCGGAACCAGTCAAGTTGAAGAAAGGATATCAGTGATTGAAGATTAACTTAATGAAATAAAGTGAGAAGACAAGATTAGAGAAAAAAGAGTGAAAAGAAATGAACGAAGCCTCCAAGAAATATGGGACTTTGTGAAAAGACCAAATCTATGTTTGATTGGTGTACCTGAAAGTGATGGGGAGAAAGGAATCAAATTGGCAAACACTCTGCAGGATATTATCCAGGAGAACTTCTCCAACCTAGTAAGGCAGGACAACATTCAAACTCAGGAAATACAGAGACCACCCACCACAAAGATATTCCTCAAGAAGAGGAACCCCAAGACACATAACTGTCAGATTCAGCAAGGTTGAAATGAAGGAAAAAATGTTAAGGGCAACCAGAGAGAAAGGTTGGGTTACCCATAAAGGGAACCCCATGAGTCTAACAGCTGATCTCTCAGCAGAAACCCTACAAGCAAGAAGAGAGTGGGGGCCAATATTCAACATTCTTAAAGAAAATAATTTTCAACCCAGAATTTCATATCCAGCCAAACCAAGCTTCATAAATGAAGGAGAAATAAAATCCTTAACAGACAACCAAATGCTGAGAAATTTTGTCACCACCAGGCCAGCATTACAAGAACTCCTGAAGGAAG